>NC_000017.11:642626-794141 GCF_000001405.40 Homo sapiens
ACTTGGAAAGCGAGGACAACACTCATACTTGGAAAGCGAGGACAACACTCATACTTGGCAACCGAGGACAACACTCATACTTGGCAACCGAGGACAACACTCATACTTGGAAAGCGAGGACAACACTCATACTTGGAAAGCGAGGACAACACTCATACTTGGAAATCAAGGACAACACTCATACTTGGAAAGCGAGGACAACACTCATACTTGGAAAGCGAGGACAACACTCATACTTGGAAATCGAGGACAACACTCATACTTGGAAATCGAGGACAACACTCATACTTGGCAACCGAGGACAACACTCATACTTGGCAACCGAGGACAACTCTCATACTTGGAAAGCGAGGACAACACTCATACTTGGAAAGCGAGGACAACACTCATACTTGGAAAGCGAGGACAACACTCATACTTGGAAATCAAGGACAACACTCATACTTGGCAACTGAGGACAACACTCATACTTGGAAACCGAGGACAACACTCACACTTGGAAAGCGAGGACAACACTCATACTTGGAAAGCGAGGACAACACTCATACTTGGAAAGCGAGGACAACACTCATACTTGGCAACTGAGGACAACACTCATACTTGGAAACCGAGGACAACACTCATACTTGGAAAGTGAGGACAACACTCATACTTGGAAAGTGAGGACAACACTCATACTGGGAAACCGAGGACAACACTCATACTTGGCAACTGAGGACAACACTCATACTTGGAAACCGAGGACAACACTCATACTTGGCAACTGAGGACAATACTCATACTTGGAAAGCGAGGACAACACTCATACTTGGAAAGCGAGGACAACACTCATACTTGGAAATCAAGGACAACACTCATACTTGGAAATCAAGGACAACACTCATACTTGGCAACTGAGGACAACACTCATACTTGGAAACCGAGGACAACACTCATACTTGGAAACCGAGGACAACACTCATACTTGGCAACCGAGGACAACACTCATACTTGGAAACCGAGGACAACACTCATACTTGGAAAGCGAGGACAACACTCATACTTGGAAAGCGAGGACAACACTCATACTTGGAAAGTGAGGACAACACTCATACTTGGAAAGTGAGGACAACACTCATACTTGGAAAGCGAGGACAACACTCATACTTGGAAATCAAGGACAACACTCATACTTGGCAACTGAGGACAACACTCATACTTGGAAACCGAGGACAACACTCATACGTGTCAACCCAGGAGGCCCAGGAGGAACTTGTCGAGGCCATAGAGCTGTGCAGGCCTGTCCATTTCCAGGTTGAGTTCTTTTTTCACTCCATCATGAGACCTGCCAAGCCTTTCTCACATTTATAAGAGGTTAGAAATGGCTGTGAAAAATATATTTTCGTTCAAGAGTTTCATGGTTTTCAAGAGAATGTAAGGCTCTTCCATTCTTCATTGGGAGATACTGACTGATGACTAGAAACATTCCCTTTCACGGATATGCTTAGGCCAGGAGGATTTGAAATGTAAAGATGCTAAAGAAAAAACTCTTTCCTCCAATGCTACATTAAGCATGGAAGCATTTGCCAGAAGGGTAGTTGGAAGAATTAGCTATGCTCAAATCAAGGCTCATGAACTTCCTATTTCAAATGTACAGGCAAAGATTTCAGAACACAACTTTTCACATGACTTCTACACTTTACAGACAGCAAGACAGTAAATTTGAGAAACGGAAGCAATGCAGAGGGTGGTAACCCGCCTGCCATCTCCCGCCCCTTACAACAAATAGCTATTTCTCTCATTTCCAGATGGTTCTACCATCAGCACGTAAACATAAGGGAAGCAAATTCACCAGAAAGGATGCTAAAAATAAGAAGTCTGGACTTTTCTCAAACGTTTAGTACCTCTTAAAAAAACAATCCTAGTCAAGCACTGAAAATAAAAATAAGAAGTTGTCTCCTCTTGTGCTCTTTTTAGTGTTATTTTTTTTTTTCCCCCGAGACGGGTCTGCTTTCTTGCCCAGGCTGGAGTGCAGTGGCACAGTCTCGGCTCACTGCAGCCTCCACTTCCGGAGCTCAAGTGATCCTCCCATTTCAGCCTCCCAAGTAACTGGAACCACAGGCACACATCACCACACCAGCTCACTTTTTGTATTTTTGGTAGAGACAGGGTTTCACCATGTTGTCCAGGCTGGTCTTGAACTCCAGAGCTCAAGCGATCTGCCTGTCTCAGCCTACCAAAGTGCTGGGACTCCAGGTGTGAGCCACCATGCCCAGCCTTTTTAGTGTTACTTAATAGCACATATTCTGTATTAACCTACACAAAATTATTGCAAATAGAGATTGCGAAATGAACTAAAAGATAAGTAAATCCTCCTGTGTTTGCAGCAACCTTATGTGATAATGAATGTTTGGAGCACTGAAATATATTCATAGAATGTTGGACTTTCTATTTTTCAGGAATGTGATTATAACAGTGATTATTAAGTTCCTTCAAATTTTTAAAACTACCTCTTTAAACAAATGTTGAAAAGCAAAGAGCCCACCAAAAGTACAGGCAGCAAAAGCAAAAAGAAACAAGTGGGACTACATCAACCTAAAAAGCCTGTTGGAGAAATGCAGGTGGAAACCACAATGCAGTGTCACTTCACGTCCTAACGGGGGCATCTTTTCATGTTTATTGGCCATTTATTTATCTTCTTTGGAGAAATGCTTATTCAAATCCTTTGCTGGTTTTTTAATTGAGTTGTTTGGCTTTTTGTTGTTGATTTCTGGGAATTCTTTATATATTCTAGATATTAATCCATTATCAGATAAATGATTTGGAAATATTCTTCCCATTCTGTGCATTGCCATTTTACCCTGCTGATAGTGTTTTTTCATGCACAAGTTTTAAAATTTTTCATAAAGTCCCATTTATCTATGTTTTCCTTTTGTTGCCTAGGACTTTGGTGTCATATCCAAGAAACTGCTGCCAAATACAGTGGTGTGAAGATCTGGTCTTCGTTTTCTTCTAAGAGTTTTAGAATTAGGTTTTACATCTAGGTTACAGATCCATTTTGAGTTATTAACGAATCCCTATGCTGGTTTCTGCCAAATAAAAGTTAGTTCTGTCATGTTCCTGCCATGCACAACCCCTTCCTTTATACCGACTGGAGATAGGCTCCCACACACATCTCCGTGACCGTGTGGCCACTGCCTCCTAAGGGTCTTATCTTTTCTAATCCATATCACGGACTGGAGACTGGCTCTTACACACATCTCCGTGACCGCGTGGTCTCTGCCTGATAAGGGTCTTATCTTTTCTAATTCATACCACGGACTGGAGACTGGCTCCCACACACATCTCCGTGACCGTGTGGCCACTGCCTCCTAAGGGTCTTATCTTTTCTAATCCATATCACGGACTGGAGACTGGCTCCCACACACATCTCGGTGACCGCGTGGCCTCTGCCTGATAAGGGTCTTATCTTTTCTAATTCATACCACGGACTGGAGACTGGCTCTTACACACATCTCGGTGACCGCGTGGCCTCTGCCTGATAAGGGTCTTATCTTTTCTAATTCATACCACGGACTGGAGACTGGCTCCCACACACATCTCCGTGACCGTGTGGCCTCTGCCTGATAAGGGTCTTATCTTTTCTAATCCATACCACGGACTGGAGATCGGCTCCCACACACATCTCCATGACCGCGTGGCCTCTGCCTGATAAGGGTCTTATTTTTTCTAATCCATACTACGGACTGGAGATCGGCTCCCACACACATCTCCGTGACCGTGTGGCCACTGCCTCCTAAGGGTCTTATCTTTTCTAATCCATACCACTGACTGGAGATTGGCTCCCACACACATCTCCGTGACCGCGTGGCCACTGCCTCCTAAGGGTCTTATCTTTTCTAATCCGTATCACGGACTGGAGACTGGCTCCCACACACATCTCCGTGACCGCATGGCCACTGCCTCCTAAGGGTCTTATCTTTTCTAATCCACACCACTGACTGGAGATCGGCTCCCACACACATCTCCGTGACCGCGTGGCCACTGCCTCCTAAGGGTCTTATCTTTTCTAATCCATATCACGGACTGGAGACTGGCTCCCACACACATCTCCGTGACCGCGTGGCCACTGCCTCCTAAGGGTCTTATCTTTTCTAATCCACACCACTGACTGGAGATCGGCTCCCACACACATCTCCGTGACCGCGTGGCCACTGCCTCCTAAGGGTCTTATCTTTTCTAATCCATATCACGGACTGGAGATCGGCTCCCACACACATCTCCGTGACCGCGTGGCCACTGCCTCCTAAGGGTCTTATTTTATCCAGACTCCTGTACCTCTATAATCCACTAGACTTTTACAAAATACAAGTGAGATCATGCCCCCCGCACTTAAAATCTTTCACTGTCCACAAAATAAAAAATAAATTATTTAGCAAGGCATATAAAACCTGACCCGATCTACCTATGCAGCCCTGTCTCCCTCTGCTGCCTCCAAACTCCATGAGACTCCCTCTTCCTTCTTTCCCCCATTACTGTCACGTTGGTAAGATCCCACCCATTCTTTTAAGATTCAGATTAAAACAGAATTTGTCTATGACCCCTGCCCTCAGCCCCTGCTTCAGCCTATCAATTCCTCTTCTGAGATCCTGCTATGCCTTGTACAGCATATACCAGTTTTGTTACATCTGTTATACTGGAATCTTCTATTAATGTCTTTCTTCTCCATACAAAAATGGTGAACTCTTTGAAGGCAGAGAGTGTGTATTTCTTATCTTTGTGCCTTCAGTCCCCAGCACGGGGCCTAGGATGTAGAAAATGCAGAGTAAATATCTATCATGCAAATGAAGAAAAGAACAAATGAATATGAAAGAGATCAACTCTGAATCATCCTGAGAGCAGGGGTAGAAGGGACTGCCTTCCTCCTCCCCCATCCGCTGACAGCAAATCTGCCTGCTCCATCCAGGCTCCTTCTTTCTTGCAGCTCATAAAGTCCTGTTCGCCTGCTTTCTTGGCTGCCTCACAGTCCAGTCTGATAAGGTGATCAGCTGGCTCTAGGTGTGAGGGGTAGGAAGGATGAGGGAAAGGGTGGCGATTTCCCTAGCGTTCTGCCAAGCTCGGCAAGATGCACACTGAGCACACGTTGCAACCTCCCATTCCTGCCCCGGAGCGTCAGAAATAATAAAAAGATTTTCATGAAAATCCAAATCCAGACAAGAAAAGTGGTATACTAGAAGCCTGAGGACTTCCTGGTAGGAAGGATGACAGAAAATCACTGCCCAAAAATGCTTCTCGAAAATGAAAGACATGAAGGTGGCGATACCAGGAGCAGGATGGGGCCGCTGTCCGTGTCTGCACCCACACCGTGAATGCGTGAATGCTCACGTCAGGCGGCAGGGGTGGGCCTCTGGGTCTGAGAACTTCAGCAGTAGCCAGAGGGGCGGCCAACACCCAAGAAGACCAGGGAGCCTCCAAGCCTAGGAGATCAGCTGCTGGGACACCCACCTGGCAGGTTTCTCCAGGTCTGGCCCCCCTCACTTTGGAAAAGCTGTCTGTGATACACTTAGCCAAGTAGCAATTCCCATTTCTCGCCCACGAGCAGGTAGCAGTAAAAGAGCATTCTTGATCAGACTAATAGAGAATGTCAAAAATAAAAATAAGGCCGGGCACGGTGGCTCACACCTGTCATCCCAGCACTTTGGGAGACTGAGACAGGTGGATCACTTGAGGTGTCAAGAGTTCGAGACCAGCCTGGCCAACATGGTGAAACCCTGTCTCTACTAAAAATACAAAACTTAGCTGGGCATGGGTGGTGGGCGCCTGTAGTCCCAGCTACTTGGGAGGCTGAGGCAGGAGAATTGCTTAAACCCAGGAGGCGGCGATTGCAGTGAGCTGAGATTGTGCCACTGCACTCCAGCCTGGGCGATGGAGTGAGACTTGGTCTCAAAAAATAAACAAATAAAATAAAAATGAGGTTTCAGCTAAGAATCACTAAACATTTGAGAAATGCTAAAGAGAAAGAATTGCCATGCTGAACAAACTGAAGATCTTACACTGGAGGACAGAGGAATGGAACAGGCACTGAAGATCTTACACTGGAGGACAGAGGAATGGAACAGGCACTGAAGATCTTACACTATAGGACAGAGGAATGGAACAGGCACTGAAGATCTTACACTGGAGGACAGAGGAATGGAACAGGTAATGAAGATCTTACACTGGAGGACAGAGGAATGGTACAGGCACTGAAGATCTTACACTGGAGGACAGAGGAATGGAACAGGCACTAAGATCTTACACTATAGGACAGAGGAATGGAACAGGCACTGAAGATCTTACACTGGAGGACAGAGGAATGGAACAGGCAATGAAGATCTTACACTAGAGGACAGAGGAATGAACAGGCAATGAAAATCTTACACTGGAGGACAGAGGAATGGAACAGGCACTGAAGATCTTACACTGGAGGACAGAGGAATGGAACAGGCACTGAAGATCTTACACTGGAGGACAGAGGAATGGAACAGGCACTGAAGATCTTACACTGGAGGACAGAGGAATGGAACAGGCACCGAAGATCTTACACTGGAGGACAGAGGAATGGAACAGGCACCGAAGATCTTACACTAGAGGACAGAGGAATGGAACAGGCACCGAAGATCTTACACTGGAGGACAGAGGAATGGAACAGGCACCGAAGATCTTACACTGGAGGACAGAGGAATGGAACAGGCACCGAAGATCTTACACTGGAGGACAGAGGAATGGAACAGGCACCGAAGATCTTACACTGGAGGACAGAGGAATGGAACAGGCAATGAAGATCTTACACTGGAGGACAGAGGAATGGAACAGGCACTGAAGATCTTACACTGGAGGACAGAGGAATGGAACAGGCACTGAAGATCTTACACTGGAGGACAGAGGAATGGAACAGGCACTGAAGATCTTACACTGGAGGACAGAGGAATGGAACAGGCACTGAAGATCTTACAGTGGAGGACAGAGGAATGGAACAGGCACTGAAGAGCTTACACTTGAGGACAGAGAAATGGAACAGGCACTGAAGATCTTACACTGGAGGACAGAGGAATGGAACACGCACTGAAGATCTTACACTGGAGGACAGAGGAATGGAACAGGCACTGAAGATTGTACACTGTAGGACAGAGAAATGGAACAGGCAACCCAGTGCTTTAACAAACACATAATTTCTATTCCGTGGGAGAGACATGAGAATATTATGCCCATGAGAAAAGAATCAGCTAGATATGCTGGAAATTAAAAAGCTGGATTTTTAAAATAAAAATTCAACAGCTGGGCCAAATAGCACAATGGATGCAAGTGAAGAATAAATTAAAATAGGAAGACTGGGTTGAGGAATTCTTTCAGAAAGCAGTTCAAAAGGACAAAGAGACAGAAAGCATGAAAGGAAAATTAAGAGACATGGCAGCAGATCTAGAAGATCCAACGTTCACGTAACAAGAATTCCACAAGGAAAGAATGCAGAGACCAAGTTGTAGAGACTACTCAAAGAAAGGAATAAAGGAGAATAATTTCTTAGAGTATGAGAAACTCATGAGTGTTTAGAGGAAGAAGACAACTGGGGCTAGGTACAGTGGCTCACGCTTGTAATCCCAGCACTTTGGGAGGATGAGGCAGGAGGATCACTTGAGCCCAGGAGTTGAAGACCAACCTGGGCAACATAAGAAGATCCCACCTCTACAGAAAAATGTTAAAAATCAGCCAGGCATGGTGGTATTTGCCTGTATTCCTGGCTACTCAGGAGGTGGAGGCAGGAGGATGGTTTGAGCCCAGGAGTTCCAGGTTGCAGTGAGCTATGACCACGCCACTGCACTCCAGCCTGGGCAACACAGCAAGACTCCGTCTCAAAAAAACAAAACAAAACACTAATCTTACTAGCTACAAGGAAAATGAAAATTAAAGGAACCGGATACCGTTTTCAACCATAAGATAGATAAAAATGAAAAACAACAATATCAAGTGTTGCTGAGGGTAAGGGTGCTCTCATACAGTACAGATCGTACTACAAGTATATAAAGCTTTGCTGGAGGGCAAATGGGCAGTAGCTACTAAAATTTTAAATGTATACAAACCTATAACCCAGAATCTGTCCCAGAGAAATACTTGCATATGTGCAAAAGGGGGCATATTTTAAGAATTAGAAACAACGACCTAGTGCTACCAAAATGGTGAAATAATCTGTGGTATGTCACGCTATGGGGTTCTGTGCATCAATTCCAGAGAATGAAGCAGGTTTATACATACTGATGAGAAAAAAAATATCTAAAATACATGTGGTTGAAAACAAAAAGCAGTTTTTAGAATAAAGCGTAAGGCATGAAACCATTTAGTTAAAACAAAACAAAGCAAAAACAAAGCCATTAACTGAAACTATAGATTTATATAAATACACACACAAATCCGGAGAGATAGGATTAAAACTATAGATTTATGTAAATACACACACAAATCCAGAGCGATAGCCACTGAAACTACAGATTTATGTAAATACACACACACAAATCCGGAGCGATAGCCATTAAACTACAGATTTACGTAAATACACACACACAAATCCGCAGTGATAGCCATTAAACTGATAACAATTACCACCTCTGAGGACAACAATGGGATTCTGAAGTCTAGGTAAAGGGAACTTAGGTTTCACCTGTATACATATTTGACCTTTTTAAACAATAGAAGATGTGGAACCAGGTGCAGTGGCTCACGCCTGTAACCCCGATGCACTGGGAGCCCAAGACCAGCCCTGGGCCACAGAGTGAGACCCTGTCTCTACAAAAAAGTAACAAAGTTAGTTGGGTGAGGTGCTGCGTGCTTGTAGTCCCAGCTGCTTGGGAAACTGTGGTGGGAGGATCACTTGAGCCCAGGAGTTCCAAGCTGCAGTGAGCAGTAATTCTGCCACTACACTCCATCCTGGGTGACAGAGTGAGACCCTGTCTCTATTTTTTAAAGTCTATGTGTATTACTTATATAATTACAAATAAGGAAACTTAAGGAAAACAAAGAAGCCTGTAGCATTCGGGCCTTATTAAGAAGGCAGAGTCAGAAACGTAGCTGCTGCTCAGTAACAACGCCTTCATTTCTTCTTTGCTGCAAGGAAGGTTAGAATTTGTCAATTGTGACGGTCTCTGCCTTCTCAGTGTTCTTCCTGCCCCTCCTTCTAACAGAAAAGGTGGTGCATCAACTCCTCCTCGTCCTCCCTTGGAATCCTCATCCTCCTTCGCTCTGAGAAATTACTTTCCTTTCCACTGGATCTGAATCTGGGATTAAAACTCAACAGCAATAAGAAGGAAAGAATAAGGTTGGGGGGAAAGTCATCTTTTTATCGTATCTAAAGTTTTTGTGGTTCACTGTATTTTTTTTTTTTTTTGAGTCTCACCCTGTCGCCCAGGCTAGAGTACAATGGCAGGATCTCAGCTCACTGCAACCTCCACTTCCCAGGTTCAAGTGACTCCTGCCTCAGCTTCCCGAGTAGCTGGGATTACAGGCACCTGCCACCATGTCCAGATAATTTTTGTATTTTTAGTAGAGACGGGGTTTCGCCATGTTGGCCAGGCTGGCCTCGAACTCCTGACCTCGGGTGATCCACCCGCCTCGGCCTCCCAAAGTGCTGGGATTACAGGTGTGAGCCACCATACCCGGCCGTGGCTCACTGTATTTTCTAAAGACCGCCACAGCAATCTATCCCATCCCACATGCTTTTTGTAACAATGTGACTTTGACATTCCTCCCGTTAGTGGGTGGGAGAAGACTA
Organism: Homo sapiens; assembly: GCF_000001405.40. Classification (NCBI taxonomy): domain Eukaryota; kingdom Metazoa; phylum Chordata; class Mammalia; order Primates; family Hominidae; genus Homo; species Homo sapiens. Next base: position 652,405 of record NC_000017.11, read on the forward strand.
TGTTCCTTCCTCTTGAATCTTAGCAGCCTTGTGACTATGGCAGAAGTGATGCTATGAAATTTCCAAGGCTTGGTTCTCTTGGGACGCTCATTCTTGGAACCAGCCACCTTACCGTGAGGAAGTCCAAGCAGCCCGTGGAAGACAACAAAGAATCCCAGCAACGGCCTGGCCAAGCTCCCAGCTGACAGCAAGCACCAAGGAGCCAGCCATGAGAGTGAGCCAATGCATTCTCCAGTCCCCTCCTGAGCTGCCTCGGCTAATGCTGCACGGAGCAGGGATGAGCTGGTCCCCGAGCCAGGCCAAATTATACGTGCAAAACAATTATTGTTTTAAGCTACTAAGTTTTGTGCTGGTTTGTTACAAAGAAATAGATACCTAGAACAGTTTCTCTCACAAATGGGGACAACTGAGAGTTGTCCATATATACAACTGTAACTATCTACCACAGGCAGCTTTGGAAGACATGGGAAGGGGTAAAGTGGGGGAACGTCTGCACCAGACAGTTAGATCAGGTAGCATCTGATATTCCTTCACACACTAAGACTCTGCAGTGAACACGCTGAGCTAAGTGCTTAAGCACTTCCTAGCACCAGGTCCTTTTCTGAAAGCAAGATCACTTCTTCCGGTGACAGTTTACCTTTTGGAAAGTTTAGCTGCCGGATCTGCGGAATCCCCATATACTTTCCCTCCAGTGACAGTTTACCTTTCGGAAAGCTGCCGGATCTGTGGAATCCCCATATACTTTCCCTCCGGTGACAGTTTACCTTTTGGAAAGCTGCCGGATCTGCGGAATCCCCATATACTTTCCCTCTGGTGACAGTTTACCTTTCGGAAAGCTGCCGGATCTGCGGAATCCCCATATACTTTCCCTCTGGTGACAGTTTACCTTTCGGAAAGCTGCCGGATCTGCGGAATCCCCATATACTTGTGGAAGTGCTCCAGGACATTCATCACACCCTGAAGGAGATTAGCAACTTCTCCGTATTGTCTTCGCCTGGTCATGGCTCTGCAAGGAAAGAATAAGTTTAAAAGTCTAGAAAAACACTAAAGACGCAAGATACAGACACAGAACAACCCACGCTAGCTCTCAAACAGATATCAACTCAGCTGAATCAACGTTCGCTGAGCACTGAGTATATAAGCTGCTGTGCGTTGTGGGAGGAAAAAACAGGATCTGGTCCAAATCCTCAAGGTGACACCATATAGTAAGGGAGAGAGTCAAGTACACATCTAACTAGTATCAAAAAGGATGAACTATGTTCTAAACAGAAGTACAAATTATGTGCTACGGCAGGAAGAATGTGTGAGTGATGAATTCTCATTTGGTGTGGGGAGGGGAATCTGGGAAGACGATGAATTTAGAATTTGGGTTGGATATTATGGGATTAGCAAGCTTGGGACAGAGAACCGGGGTAGGGATGTTACTATCTGAGGATTACAGCCTATGAGCAAACCAAACACAAAGGGTGCGGCCAGGCGCGGTGGCTCAGCCTGTCATCCCCGCGCTGTGGGAGGCCGAGGTGGCTCACGCCTGTCATACCCACACTGTGGGAGGCCGAGGCGGGCAGATCACGAAGTCACGAGATCGAGATCATCCTGGCCAACACGGTGAAACACCGTCTCTACTAAAAATACACAAAATTAGCTGGGCGTGGTGGTGGATGCCTGTAATCCCAGCTACTCGGGAGGCTGAGGCAAGAGACTCACTTGAACCTGGGAGGCGGAGGTTTCAGTGACCCGAGATCGTGCCACTGCACTCCAGCCAGGGTGACAGTGGGAGACTCCGTCTCAAAAACAAAAACAAAAATACACAAAGAGCAGCACTTTACCTATTAACTGAAATCTGTAGGTTCTAAGGCGTCTGTATCACAGACCTCTACTTTCCCTACTGCTAAGGTTAATGACGCTTAAATAAAAGGATGCTGATAAAATCAAGTTACACACAGGGAGGAAATATAAACTATTAGATCTAAATTTTTCATTAGGGTTGGGTTATTTCATTAAATTTGTAATTTATGATTTTCCATAAGAAGCATTGAAAAAGACAGGATTGGCCGGGCGCGGTGGCTCAAGCCTGTAATCCCAGCACTTTGGGAGGCCGAGGCGGGCAGATCACAAGGTCAGGAGATCGAGACCATCCTGGCTAACACGGCGAAACCCCGTCTCTACTAAAAATACAAAAATTAACCGGGCTTAGTGGCGGGCGCCTGTAGTCCCAGCTACTCGGGAGGCTGAGGCAGGAGAATGGCGGGAACCCGGGAGGCGGAGCTTGCAGTGAGCCTAGATCGCGCCACTGCACTCCAGCCTGGGCGACAGAGCCAGACTCCAACTCAAAAAAAAAAAAAAAAAAGAAAAAAGAAAAAGACAGGATCAAGTTCAAGCCAAGGTGTTCCGTTGCTACCACCACCTGGTTTTACCACCGCCTGGTCTTACCACCGCCCAGTCTTACCACTGCCTGGTCTGATGGTTTGGTGGACACCGACCACCCCACGAAGGAACAAATGTGACCGCCCTCTGGCCTCCCTCTGGCCGCTGCTCTCACTGCTCACAGGAGAGTGGACCAGGCATCCCTGGAGCTCATCCAATACCTAGAGAGGTCAGGAAGGGGCCCGCCCCTCCTCCTCTTTCCCTCAAGGCACTCTCCCACTTCCCCCACCCAGGACTTTGAATGCTGCATCTCAGTTTCTATGACGATGCGCTTTCCCTGTCCACATACGGAATCACACTGAGGCTGGAGCAGGGGGAGTCCCCAGCCTGAGACGGGCCACAGAGGTGAGCTGGAGTGTCAGAATCTTGCTAGTAAAGGAGGCTTTAGATTGCTCCTTTGTAGTAAATCACCAGCTCTTCCTTCTCTATTTCTAATGTTCTGATGTATCATTCCCTCTACAAGCCAAACGGAAATCTACTTTATAAAAAAAAGTGGTTTGAATGATTGAGTTCTGTCTCATAGGGTCTCTTCCATGACAGTGCAACTCAGCCCAACGCAAGCAGGAAACCTGCTGAGGCAGAAGCAGCAGGGAGTGAATATGGGCCTGTGTCACTCTGTCTGCCTGGAGTGAATATGGGCCCGCGTCACTCTGTCTGCCTGGAGTGCATATGGGCCTGTGTCACTCTGTCTGCCTGGAGTGAATATGGCCCTGTGTCACTCTGTCTGCCTTGATGGTACAGAGCCACAGCCTGAAGATGGGCCATATTCTTGGAGTCGTCCTGAAAGGCTTCTGGGGTCCCCTTTTGACTAGCTGCCAGTGTTTGTTAGGTTCTGAACACCAGAGGGCACAAAGCAAAAATGGTGACTGAACACTTGAAGCCAATTTGCAGAAAGTGGGGCAGGATGGTGAGACTTTCCTGGCTGAGAAGTAAATAGGCGACAACACCATTTTCTCTATGCGATACATTTCCCGTGGCCCCAAAAGAGAAAGTTGGCATTGCTTACTCGAGGGAGTCGACACCTCCTGCCAGCATGTGCAGGTGGTTCAGTGTGGTGATTGAGGTGGTCAGGTGGCGTTTGGCGTGATCTAATTGCTTAATATCACGGGTGATTTCTTTCACCTAAACATTGAAAAACCACAAGAAAGAAAGGAAGACGGTCAAGAAAGATGTAAAACACTTCTGCAAGTAGCTCTGTAAGAAACGAATGCAGATGAAGCAGGGAAAAATCTCAGGTTAGCAAACATTCTCACAATACAAAATAAAAATAATTTCCAACCAGGCATTTAAAATTTAATGTGGCATCTCTTTGGACTTTACTCAGGGTTATAAAACCTTCAGTTGTGAGCATGAAATGAACTTTATTTTTTTACCCCAAATGAAATGATCCAAACAGCAATTCAGTATTGAGCACACAGGACAGAGGAGGTAAGCACAGCACCTTTCCTTGAACAAGGTGAGGAAAGTGTGCCTTCTGGTGATGAAGCCGCTGGGCCATATAAAACACCTATCAGTCAGTACTAGGTACTCAGACGGTCTTTACTAATGGAATGAGGGCCTGAGCTTCCAGCAAAGAAGACTTTCAAATCTCAAGAAGATTGAAATATAAGCTCTGTAACATACGCTTAACATGTAAGTTACTAGGAGGGCAGGAGCAGTCTTCAGGGAGTGAGAAGGCAATTTGGGGAGTAAGAGCCTGACAGTGTTGTTTCAGCAGGTCCAAGAGAAGAGAAGCTGTCTCTGGGAATGCAAGTATATTTCAGTCACCAGAAAAGCATATTCAATAGAGAAGTTGGAAAAATTCCCCAACTTTACTAACACCCAGGTGAAATCATCCACTGTGTTTCTTGGTCCATGCTGACTAAGAAATGTGTGTGTGTGTGTGTGTGTGTGTGTGTGTTTTATCATGCCACATTATTTTTAATTACGTACAAAGATCTAACATGTCACCCACGGACCATTTCACCCGCTGCTCTGTTTGGCCGCCAGTCTCTTGTCTCTCTCTTCAGCAATGGTGAGGCGGATACCCTTTCCTCGGGGAAGAGAAATCCATCGTTTGTTGCCCTTGCCAATAGTGAAAATGTTGGAAACTTGAGTGCCAAAGCTGTTGCCACTGGTGTCTTTCACATGAACCACGTCAGAAGATCCCGGGTACCTCTCTCTGTTGGGGATCACACCAACTCTTCCCAGGTGAGCACCTCCAGTCACCATATATGGCTTGCCAGTGTCGAACGTGATGAAATCGGTCATCTTGCCAGTCTCCAAATCAATCTGAATGGTGTCATTCACCTTGATGAGGGGTCAGGGTAGCGGATGGTGCGAGCATCATGAGTCACCAGATGAGGGATTCCTTTTGTGCCCACAAAGATTTTTCTCACTTTGCACAACTTGTACTTGGTCTCCTCAGGTGTACAGCAAAGCAACCTTTGGTGTCACGGATCAGATGGAAATTCTCTCCTGTCTTGTCAATGCTGATGACATCCATGAACCCAGCAGGGTATGTTATATCAGTTCGGACCGTGCCATCGATCTTAATGAACCGCTGCATGCAAATCTTCTTAAGTCTGTTCCTTAGGAAAATGATGAGGGGAAGACACTCTCTCAACTTGTGGGGACTGGTGGACGGACGAGGAGCAAACACACCGGTCAATTTATCCAGCATCCAATGCTTTGGAGCTGCTACCCGCTTCAGATGCTTCTTGGCACCACGAGCCATGGCTGCATTAGGCAAGGAAAAGAGGACCTTTGTCTTCCGGTGCACATAGCGAAAGTTTCTTAATAGCAATTTGGTTGCCCAGGTTCTGTGATACCTGGAAGGAAGGGAGTGCCCTGGATACCAAACACAAATACTGTAGTCACTGGATAGATACATCCCATTAAAGTGAGTAACTTGGCCATGAGTTCATGGATAGATACGTCCTCATTAAAGTGAGAAACTTGGCCGTGAGTTTGTGGATAGATACATCCTCATTAAAGTGAGAAACTCGGCCGTTGAGGTCGTGGATAGATATATCCTCATTAAAGTGAGAAACTCGGCAGGGAGTTCGTGGATAGATACATCCCACTAAAGTGAGAAACTCGGCCGTGAGTTCTTGGATAGATACATCGCACTAAAGTGAGAAACTCGGCAGGGAGTTCGTGGATAGATACATCCCACTAAAGTGAGATACTCGGCCGTGAGTTCGTGGATAGATACATCCCACTAAAGTGAGAAACTCGGCAGGGAGTTCGTGGATAGATACATCCCACTAAAGTGAGATACTCGGCCGTGAGTTCGTGGATAGATACATCCCACTAAAGTGAGAAACTCGGCAGGGAGTTCGTGGATAGTTACATCCCACTAAAGTGAGAAACTCAGCAGGGAGTTCGTGGATAGATACATCCCATTGAAGTGAGACACTCGGCCGTGAGTTCGTGGATAGATAACATCCCACTAAAGTGAGAAACTCGGCCGTGAGTTCGTGGATAGATACATCCCACTGAAGTGAGACACTCGGCCGTGAGTTCGTGGATAGATACATCCCACTGAAGTGAGAAACTCGGCCGTGAGTTCGTGGATAGATACATCCCACTGAAGTGAGAAACTCGGCCGTGAGTTCGTGGATAGATACATCCCACTGAAGTGAGAAACTTGGCCGTGAGTTCGTGGATAGATACATCCCACTGAAGTGAGAAACTCGGCAGGGAGTTCGTGGATAGATACATCCCACCAAAGTGAGAAACTTGGCCGTGAGTTCTTGGATAGATACATCGCACTAAAGTGAGAAACTCGGCAGGGAGTTCGTGGGTAGATACATCCCACTAAAGTGAGATACTCGGCCGTGAGTTCGTGGATAGATACATCCCACTGAAGTGAGACACTCGGCCGTGAGTTCGTGGATAGATACATCCCACTGAAGTGAGACACTCGGCCGTGAGTTCGTGGATAGATACATCCCACTGAAGTGAGAAACTCGGCCGTGAGTTCGTGGATAGATACATCCCACTGAAGTGAGACACTCGGCCGTGAGTTCGTGTGCCCTGCTCTTTCAGGGTCTGATCACCCTAGGTGAACTCATACAGGTTACGACCTGCACAGCTCAATTCCACACCTATGATCCTGCAAGCCTTACCTGGATCTTAGCTATAAAAAGCCTCTTTCATGGGGACTTCCCCATCAAGCCTTCTCTCCTGTAACCTCCAAACAATCTCTGTTTCCAATGAATTAAAAAAAAAAAAAAAGGTTAAGACCACCACCACTTTACCAAATACTTAAATTTGGGGCAAAAAAAATAAAAATAAATAAATCAGGAGTGGTATAATAAATTAGATATAGAAGGCTGAAGATTGGCCCTGTAACCTGATCACCCACTTGCAACTCTGAAATCAGCATCCTTTTTCCTACAAAAAAATCTCTGTATCTCTTCCAGCGTTTTTAGCTTCAGTCTAACATAGGGAGTCTTTATTTATTTATTTATTTTTTTATTTTTTGAGATAGAGTTTCGCTCTGTCGCCCAGGCTGTACTGCAGTAGTGCGATCTTGGTTCACTGCAGCCTCCACTTCCCAGGCAAGCGATTCTCTGCCTCAGCCTCCAGAGTAGCTGGGATTACAGGTGTGCTCCACGACGCCTGGTTAATTTTTGTATTTTTAGTAGAGACACGGTTTTGCCATGTTGGCCAGGCTGGTCTTGAACTCCTGGCCTCAAGTGATCCCCCCTCCTTGGCCTCCCAAACTGCTGGGATTACAGGCATGAGCCACCGTGCCCGGCTGCATCAGGGGTCTTTAACCACTGTGTTCAAAGTCACATCATCTATGACTCTTCCTGGTCCCTGCATCAAGTCCTAAATATTCTCCCTCTGCTTCATCTCAAGACTCTATCCCTTCTCTCTATGTCCTAAATATTCTCCCTCTGCTTCATCTCAAGACTCTATCCCTTCTCTCTATGTCCTAAATATTCTCCCTCTGCTTCATCTCAAGACTCTATCCCTTCTCTCTACTCCTTGTTCAGGCCCTCACTGCTCTGCACTGGAGCTGACTGGTCTCTTTATTCCCAGGATCTCCCGTCACTCCCCATCCCACAGCCTGTGTTTCTCTAGACAAACTGAACCACTGATTTTTCCCTAAACAAAGCCATCAATGGCAGGGCACACCAGGGGTACTCAGGTCAAACCTACACGAGATCATCTGCGAGACAGAAGGCCCATGGTTGATTCGCCTCAACTGACTTACACGAGACCACCTGTGAGACAGAATGCCCATAGTTGATTTGCCTCAACTGTTGCCCACGGGCTGCGAAAACGGGTAGAGCATGAAATGGGAGGTTGTAGAGTCAGACAGATCTAGGGCTGAACCCCAGCTCTACCACTCACCAACGATGCATCCTAGAACAAGTTTCTCAGCCTCACTGAGTCTCAGTTTTCTCATCTATAAGATGGGTAATCGCAAAGATAATAATGAACATAAATCCTAGTTCATAAGGTTGTGGTGAGGGCTAAATTAGAGTGCTGACACAAAGGAACCAGCACACTGCTGGCACTGAAAGAGCTCAACAAAGATCACTTCTCCCCTCACTCCCACCTCTTCCTCCCTTCAGCACAGCACTGTCCAGGAAAGCAAGCTGCTTTAAAATAAGACATCTCATAACTTGGGAGTAAACTGTCACTGCAAACCCCCTCGGTTGGAAGAGGAAGCATACTCCAGAACACAGATTAGCATCATAAGGATATCAATAAATGCAATCAACTCCAGCAAAAGCAGCATCGGATACTCTCGCTGATCTTCACGCTTTGAGGGCCCCTGGTGCTGCTGGGTGTGGTGCACCCTTGGGGAAGGACGAGGGCCCCTGGGTGCTGCTGGGTGTGGTGCATCCTTGGTGAAGGACGAGGGCCCCTGGGTGCTGCTGGGTGTGGTGCACCCTTGGGGAAGGACCACAGAAAATCCAGGTCCCTAGGACTATGCTCAGTGCTCTTCATACGTTTAATTCTCACAACAACCCTGTGAGGCAAATGCCATTATTCTTATTTTACAGTTGAAGAAGCTGGAATTCTGAGACAACTGACAGACAGGACATTATTGAGTCTGAATCTGAACCCAGGATCCAGCACTTCCCAGCGCCTCCCATGGAGGAGGAGAAGGTGAATGCTGGATTCTCGGTCTTCGGGGCAAGCTTCTGAGCACAACACCGGGGGACACAAATTTGTCAGGGGAGAACTCAACCAAAACCACATACACAGATCATGGGCGGGGACATCCCTCCTCCCTCCATCCCTCCCTCCTCCCGGCTCCAGGACCATTCTCAGCGTGCATCGAGCTACATACCGTACATCTCGATGGAGAAATGCATGATACCAATACCAAGAAATGTTAGAGAAAGGAAAATCCAAAATGACTAGGAAACTATTTTCAGAAAGGAGAAAAAAAAAAGTTGCAGCTGGGCACAGTGGCTCACACCTGTAATCCCAGCACTTTGGGAGGCCGAGGCGGGCGGATCATGAGGTCAAGAGATTGAGACCATCCTGGCCAACATGGTGAAACCCTTTCTCTACTAAAAATACAAAAAATTAGCCGGGCGTGGTGGCAGGCGCCTGTAATCCCAGCTACTTGGGCGGCTGAGGCAGGGGAATCGCTTGAACCTGGGAGGCGGAGGTTGCAGTGAGCCAAGATCGCACCACTGCACTCCAAGGCTGGCGACAGAGCAAGACTCCATCTCAAAAAAAAAAAAAAAAATACCCAAAAAACAAAACAAAACAAAACAAAAAAGTTGCCTATTTAAAACTAGGGCTGCAAACACAGGGCAGCAGAGATGGTGAGCCACCACTGACCAGCAGCTCCCCTTGAATTGATCTGAACGCATTCATAGGGGGCTTGCTTTAGAGATGCAGATGACTCTGGTTGGCAGGAGGTGCCATTATTAGAAAAAGCTCATTATTAGAATGCCTAGATGAGAAGCTCACTTCCTCTTTTGGTGCAAAAAGGTTAGGAAGAAACCAGAACTCACCATTTGCTCTGATTTTTCAGCTTTGTCTTTGATATCTTTGATTTTGCCAAAGAGTTGTTGGATAGCTTTCTGAGCCTCTTCAAGCGCCTAGAGTAAGGGAAATACATGAAAAACAAAAAGTGGCTAGAGACAGCTCCAGTCACTAACTGTAATCAATGCTAGGCACAAAAGAAATTTCCATGAAGCTCTCCTGATTCATTGTACTTATGCCAACAATTTTTCTGGACCAAAATAGTAGAGACCTATAGAGTCCAGTGGCTGCGAACAGGTAAACACTCGGGACTCTTACCAATGTTCCTCACAAAGTTTCAACTTAAAACTAAATGATTCCCCTCTACCTCAGTCATTACTGTACATGTTATTGATAACAGCAAATAGGACAAGTAGATCTCTGTGTGTGGGTGTATGCAAAGACTCACACAGAGGGACAGGGGTAGCTCTAAATTGGGGCAAGGGAAAGCTCTGGACTTGGAAGTTCCAGATTGTGCATTCAAAAAAACCTGAACCGTGAATGGGGACTCCAGAACTGCAACAAATCTTAAAGACTTTCATAGTAAGCCATTTGAAAACCAATGAAATGCACTTAGAAAGGAACACTGGGCCGGACACAGTGGCTCACGCCTGTAATCCCAGCACTTTGGGAGGCCAAGGCGGGCAGATCACGAGGTCAGGAGATCAAGACCATCCTGGCTAACACGGTGAAACCCCATCTCTACTAAAAATACAAAAAACTAGCCAGGCACAGTGGCACGCACCTGTAGTCCCAGCTACTCAGGAAGCTGAGGCAGAAGAATTGCTTGAACCCGGGAGGCAGAGCTTGCAGTGAGCCGAAATTGCGCCACTGCACTCCAGCCTGGGTGACAGAGCGAGACTCCAAAAGGAAAGAAAAGAAAAGAAAGAGAAAGAATGAAAGAAGAAGGGAGAGAAAGAGAGACAAAGAAAGAGAAAGAAAGAAAGAAAGAAAGAGAAAGAAAGAAAAAAAGAAAGAGAAAGAAAGAAAAAAAGAAAGAAAGAGAAAGAGAAAGAAAGGAAGGAAGGAAGGAAGGAAGGAAGGAAGGAAGGAACGAAGGAAGGAAGGAAGGAAGGCAGGCAGGCAGGCAGGCAGGCAGGCAGGCAGAAAGCTAATGGTGGCTCACACCTGTAATCCCAGCACTTCAGAGGCTGAGGCAGGAGGATTGCTTGAGCCCAGGAGTTCAAGACTAGCCTGGGGAACATGGCAAGACTCGGTCTCTGCAAAAAAAAAAGTTAGCCAGGCATGGTGGCGCACACCAGTAGTCTCAGCTACTTGGGAGGCTGAGGTGGGAAGATTACTTGAGCCTGGGAGGTCAAGGCTGCAGTGAACTGTGATCATGCCACTGCACTCCAGCCTGGTGACTGAGCGAGATCTTGTCTCAAAAAAACAAGCAAAAAGCTAATGGTGAGCCCAGCATTTCCACTGAAATAAAAACCTACAAGGACAGATGCTACACAATGAAAGTATTACAACACAGCTGCAGCTTCTGCTAGGAGGGGAAGCAACATGAGGGCAGTTGTGACATGTGGAGACCAGAAAGTTCCTGTGAGTGCCAGCAGGCCACAGACGTGTACAGACCAAATGCACTGGACCGTCCGTGAGTAAAGACTACCCACAGCTAAAGTACCTGTGAGTGCCAGCAGCCCACAGACGTGTATCGACCACATGCACTGGACCATCCGTGAGTAAAGACTACCTACAGCTAAAGTACCTGTGAGTGCCAGCAGCCCACAGACGTGTATAGACCACAGGCACTGGACCGTCCGTGAGTAAAGACTACCTACAGCTAAAGTGTCTGTGAGCGTGTCAGCAGGCCACGGATGTGTATAGACCACATGCACTGGACTGTCCGTGACTAAAGACTATGAATTCCTGAGGCAGTTATAGTTCTAGGCACGAGTCAGCATCTCCTTAATTCACTCCTTCAATCACTCAATGAGTATTTACTGAATGCCTCCCATATACCAGGCATGATTCTAGGCATTGGGAATCCAATGGTAAACAAGACAGTATGGTCTCTCTCTCTGTCCTCAAGGAATGAACTTACTTTGAGAAGTAAGGGGGAGGAGATCCTGGAAAAACAACAAAATAAAGAAACAAGATAATTCCTAAGTGTGGTGAATTGACAGGTGTGGTGAAGGACTTATGCAGTGATGAGAATAAGGGAGATGGTGGTCACAGAAGGTCTCCTGAGAAAGGGCACACAAATCGGGACCTGCAGGATGAGGAGGTGTGAGAATTTGTAGATTTGGAGTAAGATGATTTTTTTTTTCTTGAGATGGAGTCTCACTCTGTTGCCCAGGCTAGAGTTAAGTGGCGTGATCTCAGCTCACTGCAACCTCTGCCTCCCAGGTTCAAGCAATTCTCCTGCCTCAGCCTCCCGAGTAGCTGGGACTACAGGCACCTGCCACCACACCTGGCTAATTTTTTGTATTTTTAGTAGAGACGGGGTTTCACCGTGTTGGCCAGGATGGTCTCGATCTCCTGACCTCGTGATCTGCCCGCCTCGGCCTCCCAAAGTGCTGGGATTACAGACGTGAGCCGCCGCGCCCAGCCTGGAGTAAGAGGATTTTCAGCAGAGAGAAAAGCAAATGTGAAGATCCTGACAGAGAAAAGACCTCGGTGTTTTGGAGGTCCGAAAAGACAGACAGTAGGTGGTAGTGCAATATTGCAGCGGGAAGTGTCTGGAAATAATCTGGAGAGGTGGGCACGAGCCAGAGCACGGAGGCCTCAAAGCATAAGGATTCTGCTCTAAGTGCCAATGAGAAGCCACTGAAGGGTCTAAACAAGGGACAGATGTATGGCTTACTTGTATAAGACTGTCCTGGCTGCTGTGTGGCAAAGGGGCTGTGCAGGGGCAGGAGGGAAAGCGGGAGTGAAAGCTCTGTGAGAAGTTGCTGCAGTGTCCACGAGACGGTGGAGGCCTAGAAGAGGCAGCCGGTGCTGACGGGAAGACGCCGAGCGATTCAGGGTTTCCAGGAAGGTACAATGTGTAGGACTCACTGATGGACTGTGTGTGGGTGATGAGGGAGAGGGAGAACCAAGGATGACGCCCGGGTTTTGGTTGAAAAGCCAAGGCCAGGGTTCACTGTCTGAACCAGGGAATGCAGGAGGAGGACGGGCTTGACAGGCAGGTGTGTGTGGTGGTGGCGGGGCTGGAAGTGAAGAGTCCCATCTGCAATACGTTACGGGTGCCTGTGCTATGGCTGGAATGCATCCCCAAAGTTCATGTGTTGGAAACATAATCCCCAATGCAATGGTGTTGGCAGGTGGGGCCTTTACGAGGTGACCAGGTCATGAGGGGTTTGCCCTCACGAACAAATGAATGGCATTATCTCGGGAGTGGGTTCTTGATAAAAGGATCTGTTCAGCCACTTTCTCGTGCATGCACACACTTTCTTGCCTTCCAACTCTGCCATGGGACGACGCAGTGAGAAGGCCCTCGCCGCAGGACGACATGGTGAGAAGGCGCTCGCCGCGGGACGACGCAGTGAGAAAGCCCTCGCCGCGGGAAGATGCGGTAAGAAGCCCTTGCCTGATGTGGGCCCCTTGACCTTGGACTTCCCAGCCTCCAGAATTATAAGAAATCTCTTTTCTTTATAAATGATTCAGTCTGTACTATTCTGTTACAGTAACATAAAACAGACTAAGAAAACTGGTATCAAGAAGTGGGCTACTGCTATAGTAAATACCTGAAAACATGGCTTTGGAGCTGGGTGATGGACAGATGTGGAACAGTCTTGAAGTGAAGGCTGGAAAAAGCCTGTATTGCTGTGAACAGAGTGCTAAGGGGGATTCTGCTAAGGGCTCAGAAGAAAAGCAGAAATGTAGAGAAAGTCTGGAACTTCTTAGAAATTACTTCATGGTTGTGACCGGAGTGTTGGTAGAAATACAGACAGTAAGCTGGGCATGGTGGCTCACGCCTGTCATCCCAGTACTTTGGGAGCCTGAGGCGGGCGGATCGCCTGAGGTCAAGAGTTCAAGACAGCCTGGCCAACATGGTGAAACCCCGTCTCTACTAAAAATACAAAAATTAGATGGGCGTGGTGGCGGGCACCTGTCATCCCAGCTACTCGGGAGGCTGAGGCAGGAGAATCACTTAAACCCAGGAGGCGGAGGTTGCAGTGAGCTGAGATAGCACCACTGCACTCCAACCTGGGTAATAAGAGCAAAACTCTGTCCCGACCAAAAAAAAAGATAGCTTACTTGAGATCAAGTAGAGACATTAAGTTGGACATAAGATTCTGGAGCTTGGAAGAGAGGTGATAGGTTGGGATTTAAATTCAGAAGTCATTACTTTAGAGATGATATGTAAGTCTGTAAGATTAGAAGTCACCTAGGAAGACAGAATACACAAGAGAAGAAAAGATGGCACAGGGCTGACCCTTGGGCATGCCAATATTCAGAAGTCTAAAATAAAAAAAAGCAGAGATGCAGAGAAAAACCACCAGTGACATGAGAAAAAATCAGGGACGATGGGTGTTACAGAAGCCAAACAGAAGTGTTTGAAGGAGAAGGAAAGAGTGATTGTGCCTTCTGTTGTTAAACACTCATGTAAGAGGCTGGGCGCAGTGGCTCAGGCCTATAATCCCAGCACTTTGGGAGGCCAGGGCGGGTGGATGACCTGAGGTCAGGAGTTCAAGACCAGCCTGACCAATATGATGAAACCCTGTCTCTACTCAAAATACAAAAATTAGCCGGGCGTGGTGGCAGGCGCCTGTAATCCCAGCTACTCAGGAGGCTGAGACAGGATAATCGCGTGAACCCAGGAGGCAGAGGTTGCAGTGAGCCAAGATCGTGCCACTGCACTCCAGCCTGGGCAACAAGAGCAAAACTCCATCTCAAAACAACAACAACAACAAAAAACTCATGTGGATCATGAGGTCAAGAGTTTGTGACCAGCCTGACCAACATGGTGAAACCCCTGTCTCTACTAAAAATACAAAAATTAGCCAGGCATGGTGGTGTGCACCTGTAATCCCAGCTACTCAGGAGGCTGAGGTAGGAGAATTGCTTGAACCCAGGAAACGGAAGCTGCAGTGAGCCAAGATGGTGCCATTGCACTCCAGCCTAGGCGACAGAGCAAGACTCCATCTCAAAAAAAAAAATGAAGACAGCTGCTACTGATTTTGACAACAGGGAAGTTGTTGGTGACCTTGACAAGAGCAGTCTCAATGCAGTCAAGGGAATGGACAGCGATGACATGAAGTAGAGGCTGTGATCACAGAGCAGGCCACAAATGATGGCCTGTGGGCTGAAGCCAGTCTGCCACGTCTGCCACCTGTTTTTGTAAACAATGTGTTTTTGGACCGAAACTCATTAATAATACTTAAACCAAACTCATTTGTTTAAGTATTGTTTATGGGGACTTTTGCCACACAATGGCAGAGATAAATAGTTACAACAGAGACCATATGGTCAGTAAAGGCTAAAATATTTACTATCCAGCCCTTAACAGAAAGCTTGCTGACCCTGGTATAGACTTTTTTTTTCAAGAAGTTTTTGCTATGAGAAAGGAAGAAAAATAGGGCAAAAGATGGCGTAAAGGGAGTAATTTTTAAAGATGAGAAATGCTTGCATACGTCTGCTTGGGAGTGATTTAGCAGGAGAGAAATTTATTTGGGGGGGCAATGGGTTAATTACAGAAGAGGACTGTTTTAAACATAATGTTCTGGGGGGGGCAATGGGTTAATTACAGAAGAGGACTGTTTTAAACATAATGTTCTGGGGGGGGCAATGGGTTAATTACAGAAGAGGACTGTTTTAAACATAATGTTCTGCGGAGGGGGCAATGGGTTAATTACAGAAGAGGACTGTTTTAAACATAATGTTCTGGGGGGGGGGGCAATGGGTTAATTACAGAAGAGGACTTTTTTAAACATAATGTTCTTGAATTGTTTAGTGCAGGGGACCCCAAGCCCTGGGCCGTGGGCCAGCACCAGTCCGTGGCCTGTTGGGAACTGGGCCGCACAGCAGGAGGTGAGCGGTGGGCAAGTGAGTGAGCATGATCTTCTGAGCTCCCCCTCCTCAGATCAGCAGCGGTATTAGATTCTCATAGGAGCGCGAACCCTACTGTGAACTGCACACGCGAGGGATCTAGGTTGCAAGCTCCTTAACAGAATCTAACTAAGGCCTGATTATCTGAGGTGGAACAGTTTCATCCTGAAACCATGTCCCCCTCCCTGGTCCATGGAAAAACTGTCTTCCAAAAAACTGCTCGCTGGTGCCAAAAAGGTTGGGGACCACTGGTTTAGTGTATGAGTATTAGCCCTTTAGCAGGGTTATAAGTATCCTTTAGAATGGGGACCAAGGATATGAACAGCACTCCTATAGAGCCCATAGCTGAGCCAATCATCCATTTGGTTTACCGGGGACACGCTGCGTTTATGATTCAGTATAGTTATTAACAGCTCCCTCTCCTTCTCAAAGTGACTCTGGTGATAAATCATATGGTCACCTCACCTACAGCACCTAAGCAAGGCTATGGCACAGTGGGACCTTGACAAATATTGCCCACTGATTAAAAGTATCATGGTGCACCTGTAAGAGTGCTGGTGCTGAGGCTACCGCTCTGAATAAGTGCGCTCATAACCATTCCTCTAACTTCAGGCCCAACCATGAGCAGTGGTTCAAAATCACAGCTTCATGCTTTCTGTAAGTATTCTCTATTTGGCTTAAACAGAGTCTAATATCCAAGATGCTACATGGGATCAGTAAATTCTAAAAAAGTTTCAATCGTGGAGTAAAAAGTGCAACAGAGGCCTCTGTAGGCAACTGACCACTAGAAAGGACTGATCTTTTTCGACACAGCTCACATGGAATTCTGTGATACTGCAGGTCATGTCATGTTATGGTGACATGCTAATGGGACCATAGCTACTGTGTTCTAGACAAACACCCTAAAACATATGACATGCAGCTAAGAAAGGCAAAAAAGGGGCTAAGTTATACACTTAGGTCTCACATATGAAGAAGTCTGCATGATCCTATCTCAGAGAAAGGGTTTCTATCCCTTTCTCTCTTACATTAAACCTGGCATCCTACCAGAACTGTCTCTGCTGAAGGTATCGCTTTTTTCTTCCAGCAAACAAATAAGACTCACACAATCTTACATGTCACAGTCTCCAAGATAGATAAACTATGTGCCAGACTTTTTTCGGGCTGGAATACTTTTGCTTGTTTTAATAAGGTACTGAAGTTGGGGAAATGTACTATAATTCATTTTGCAGAGTTTAAAAACTCCTCTGAAGCACTGGTGCTATCAGGCAAGTCCATTCTCAACACACACCCTAATATTTGACATCTAACCTCTGATCATGAGTCATATAGAAAGATTGTTTTGCAACTGGAAGAATCATGGGTCCTACAAGAAGTTAAGGTTTTTTTAAGAAACACAAAAATACCTTCACTACCTGGCTAATCAGAAATGTGCTGAAAGAATCACTCTGGCACTGTCCCTAGACACTTTTTAAAATAAAAACGTGGTTGGCCGGGGGGGCAGTAGCTCACACCTATAATCCCAGCACGCTGCAAGGCTGACGGTGGATTACTTGAGGCCAGGAGTTCAAGACCAGTCTGACCAACATGACGAAACTCCGTCTCTACTAAAAATACTAAAAAAATTAGCTGTGTGTGCTAGTACATGCCTATAGTTCCAGCTACTCCGGAGGCTGAGGCATGAGAATCACTTGAGCCCAGGAGGCGGAGGCTGCAGTGAGCCAAGATTGCGCCACTGCACTCCAGCCTGGGTGACAGAGACATACTCTGTCTTAAAAAAAAAAAAAAAATTAGGCCAGGTGCGATGGCTCATGCCTGTAATCCCAGCACTTTGGGAGGCTGAGGCAGGTGGATCATGAGGTCAAGAGATCAAGACCATCCTGCCCAACATGGTGAAACCCCATCTCTACTAAAAATACAAAAATTAGCTGGGTGTGGTGGCGCATGCCTGTAATCCCAGCTACTCGGGAGGCTGAGGCAGGAGAATCACTTGAACCAGGGAGTCGGAGGTTGCAGTGAGCTGAGATGGTGCCATCGCACTCCAGCCTGGTGACAGAGCGAGACTCCATCTAAAAAAAAAAAAAGAAGAAAAAAAAGTAATAATAAAAAAATTAAAAGGTGGCTACTTTCCATTCCAAGCTGTATGTGGATTAAAAACAGAACTAATCACTCCCAAAAATGTCTGCATTTAATCTACCCCACTAGAGTTTCTGAACGGAGCACTGGAGCTACAGCTTACGTCTAAAGGTGTTATAAAGCAGTGACTGTTGTGGCCCTTTTTAGGACTCAAATTCTATACACACACAGCCTGCATCCTAAAGTGTTATAAAGCGGCGACTGTGTTTAATCTGCCCCTACTGGAGTTTCTGAACTGGGCACTGGTGAACTGGGCACTGGTGAACTGGGCACTGGTGAACTGGGCACTGGAGCCACAGCCTGTATCTGACGGTGTTATAAAGCGGTGACTGCCGTGCTCCTCTTTTAAGACTCAAATTCTGTAAACAGGAGATGAAAAGCAACCCACTGAATTAGCCTAGAAGGCTCAGCAAAACCAATTCCAGCATCTTTGTATTTCTGTGCATCCTAATGGTAACCACTACTCTGAATTCTCCTTGCCTCCTGGAGGAGACGGTGAGCAGGCTCTCAAAGCCACAGGAGGTCACGTGTGGAAGATAAGGAGTATGGAACCTGGCACAGACTCTCCTGCTTTCTTCTTTCTCTTTTTCCTTTTTTTGCAGAACTGTTGTCTGCCACGTTAGTAGACAGAGGGGCTCTGATTCATTGGCAGTGCCTTAAGAAATGAGCATCCCTCTGGCTCTCAGGTCCATCTAATTTTGCAGTCTGCGCCATCAGAGAATGATGCTGCCTTTATCCTGTGAGTCCGCAGGCAGCCTTTCAGAGATTTTAAACCGAGATCCCCTTTGTGGCCACTGCAGGAAGGAGGAAAGGTTGTTCATTTTCCGAAGAGCTGGTATGGCTTTAGACTATTCTGTGAAAAAATAAGGTGCTATTATTCACGGTTACTGGGGAGAAAATTAGATTTTTCCACTATTTTGCTACCATTTCTGTTTTCCAACTTGACATCTATCTGCTGGTTCCCTTTTCTATTATATGGAAAAGCAACGTGCTGGGCCAGGTGCAGTGGCTCACGCCTGTAATCCCAGCACTTTCGGAGGCCGAGGCAGGCAAATCACCTAAGGTCAGGAGTTAGAGACCAGCCTAGCCAACATGGTGAAACCCCGTCTCTTCTAAAAATACAAAAACTAGCCAGCCATCATGGTACACACCTGTAATCCCAGCTACTGGGGAGGATGAGGCAGGAGAATCGCCTGCACCTAGGAGGTGGAGGTTGCAGTGAGCCAAGATTATGCCACTGCACTCCAGCCTGGGCAACAGAGTGAGACGGAGAAAGAAAAGAAAAGAAAGAAGAAAGGAAAAGGAAAAGGGAAGGGAAGGGACAAAAAGAAGGAAGGAAGGGAGGGAGGAAGGAAAAAGAAAAAAAGAAAAGAGAGACAGGAAAGAAAGAGGAAAGAAAGAAAGAAAAGAAAGAAAAGAGAAAGAGGGAGGGAGGGAGGGAGCAACATGCTGTATGAGTTACAAGCAAGGGATTTTCAACTAGCAGACTGGGATTCAAACCTTGGCTCTGCCAGTTACTGTGTGATTTCTGTCAAGCCTCTTATCCTCTAGGAAGTAGTTTCATAATTTCCAGAATGCAAATTCTATCAGCTACCTGAAAGGTAGTAAGGAATGTGAGAGTAGAAAATATGTTTGGAATCGTTTACCCAACACTCTTCCCCTCCGCATGCGAAATCTTCCTTTCACCGTGTTTCTACAGAGTCTGCTGTCCAAGAGCTGACCAGGCCCTCGTTGGAGCAGTTTTCCCATGACTTTTTTTTTTTTTTTTTGAGACAGAGTCACGCTTCGTCGTGGCATGATCTCAGCTCACTGCAACATCCGCCTCCTGGGTTCAAGTGATTCTCATGCCTCAGCCTCCTGAGTAGCTGGGATTACAGGCACCCGCCACCACACCCAGCTAATTTTTGTATTTTTAGTAGAGACGGGGTTTCACCATGTTGGCCAGGACGGTCTCCATCTCCTGACCTCATGACCCGCTTACCTCGGCCTCCCAACATGCTGGGATTACAGGCGTGAGCCACCAGAATGAGAATTGGGAAAAAGAGTTTGTCTTTCGCGGGTGGTAGGAGTCCCAAGAAGTGAAACTGAGTTAGAGAGCAGCTAGGTTCCCCAGGAAGGGCAGGAGGCTGGACTACAGGTAGAGATGATGAGGGTGACACACACACACACACACACACACACACACACACACACACACAATCTCTCTCTCACACAATCTCAATCTCTCTCTCTCTCTCTCTCTCTCTCTCTCTCTCTCTGAGCTTTACTCCCGTCTTTGGCTTCAGCTGTTTGACAAGCCCAGCTGAGACGCTATCCTTCTGGCGGTCACACTTGTTGAACTTCTTCAAACGAGACACAACAGGATCCTTCCAAATAATCCCCCTTTTGCCTAAGCCCGTTTGAATTGGGATTTTTGTCTTCTGCAACCAAGAGAGTCTTGAATGAGTTTATAAAGCACTCAGCTCACAGAAAGTGCTCACTTAATGGCAACTATTAGTATTCCCACATCTCCTAGATGGAGTAGGATATTTCAGATGAGACTACCCTCTAAGAATCAGAGGTTGTTACTCATCTTTTAGAGCTTTGTAAATAAGATGGCTAAGTTCAGTATCTGCAGGCAGACTCAGAAGAACGGCTCATGGATTAAGAGGATGGAATCTTTGAACCATGCTGAAAATGAGACATTCTCCAGAAAAAAATTGAAGTCTTTTGTTCATTCATTCAATTAAAAAGTGAGTGCCTATTACATGTACTGTGCTAGATACTGAGAGAAAAAGATCACTAGCTAGGGAATGTATCTTTAAAGGGCTTGTAAGGAATACATGTCTGAATTATACACAAAATGATACAAAGAGCGATGAATAAAGAATGGCAGCGGCCGGGCGCAGTGGCTCACGCCTGTAATCCCAGCACTGTGGGAGGCTGAGGAAGGTGGATCACGAGGTCAGGAGATCGAGACCATCCTGGCGAACACGGTGAAACCCCGTCTCTACTAAAAATACAAAAAATTAACCGGGCGTGGTGGCGGGCGCCTGTAGTCCCAGCTACTCGGGAGACTTAGGCAGGAGAATGGCGTGAACCCAGGAGGTGGAGCTTGCAGTGAGCCGAGATTGTGCCACTGCACTCCAGCCTGGGGCACAGAGCAAGATTCCGTCGCAAAAAAAAAACAAAAACAAAAACAAAAAAAAAACAACGGCAGCATCATTTCGAAAGCCAGGAGGTCCTCCAGAGAGCAGAAACATGGATGAGTGCTACCACATCTGATAAGCCCTACACGGAAGCCCTCACCACATCCACTGAGGGTGGACACCAAGGGTCAAGTCGCCTCTCTTTAGAGAAAGTCTCTTCTTTTGTTACTGCTGACCACCCCGGCATCACTGAGAGCTGTTGCTATGGAAACGAGGTATCCCCAGCTGAAACAGAGGTGCTTCAGCCAGCCTCAGCAATGCTAACAATGCAGCCCGCTCTCCACGACGGTGCTCAACAGCAGCAGAGGCTGCGGGACTCTCACACACCCAGCCTCAGCAATGCCAACAACGCAGCCCACTCCCCATGATGGTGCTCAACAGCAGCAGAGGCTGTCGGACTCTCACAGCCACAGATGGCTGCACGTCTACAGCTCTTTGCTTCCCTACGTGTCCGAGAACTCAACCAGGACTGCCCTGGTCAAATGCCAGATGGCGCCCATCAGATGAGAATCACTGATGTTTACACAAATTCCTCCACACCACTTAGGAACCTGGAGTATAAGAAGGCTTTATTTAAAGCACAGATTTCTTTCCAAGTTTGTGAACCAAAAACCAAAGGACTGTAAAGAGCAAACGGAGTAATTCTCACCTTGTTTGTTAAAATGTTCTGTTCCATGTAAGTTACTTTTATTTATGATTTCTGCAAACCAAAGCCACTGAAAATGTGAACCAAAGAGCTCATTTTTGTTGTTTTCAGGAGACAAGCCAGAAATTAAAATCACAAGACGAGGCTCGGAAACAAATTCAGCAGTGCCCAAATAAGACTAAACATTTACATTGCAAAGTTCTGCCTATATCTGTTATCACCCCTAACTTAAAACAAGCTAGCCCTGAAATAGCTGCGAGTGACGGATGCGTTCATGCAGCTTCCTTTGACGAAAGGTAACCCCGGAGGATGAGAGCATTTCAAGCAACACCTCCAAGTGGCAAAAGACAAGGAAACGTTTAAGCAAAAGTTTCTGCTGCTTTTGCTGAATGAAAGGTAAAGAAATTCAATATTTTTGGAAATGGGGCACATTAAAAGGAACAACTTGTCCAAGTTTAACAAAGGACTACTTTTCCCAAATAGCCAGGACTTCCAGTTGCCAAGTTCGAGGTTATTGACTTCATTCTAATTCCCCATATCTTACTATTACTTCTCATTTTAGTCACTTCATAACTCTCATCTATATCGTAAGTCTTCATTCAGGAGAAAACATCCTTTTGCGTGACATCTGGATGTTCCCTCAGCTGACTTTTTGAGACACCTTCTGTGCCAAATGCCCTTCAGGCTGCGAGGATTCATCTGTGTGATTTTTTTCTCTTCCTGGTTCGCTTACTCTCTTTAGGGCCTCACTGGTGTCTGTATTTTCGGCAGCACAGGTGTGCAGAACACAGAGAGTTCTCTTCAACCTGGGGTTCTTCTCTCAGTCCAGTTTCTTCGTCATACTGAGGGGGACCAAGCTGGCTAATGAGGCCATGGTCACTGCCATTATTTGAAATTCCTTATGAATCAGCCTTCCAGGCTCCACAGCAAAACAGGTGGCTCCCAAATCTGCTTTTAAATGTTTGTCACTGTTTAAAGATAATTTAGTATGGACAAGTATGCAGCATACTGCGAATGAGAAAATCTGGGTCTGTGATTAACTCGCTTCGTGTGATTTTGGGCACGTCACAGAACTGATGCGGGCCATCTCTTCATCTGTAAAATGGGGAGAACAGCATCTACGTGGCCTAATTCACACATCTTTGTAAACATGTGAATCGAGTAAATCAAGTAAAGTAATATATGCAACAATATTTTGCAAGGTAAACATTTATAGT
Source organism: Homo sapiens (assembly GCF_000001405.40). Taxonomy (NCBI): domain Eukaryota; kingdom Metazoa; phylum Chordata; class Mammalia; order Primates; family Hominidae; genus Homo; species Homo sapiens. The sequence continues at coordinate 675,006 of NC_000017.11, forward strand.
GTAATAAAACATTAGCATTACAGATCAAGACAAATGACTCAAAATGTTATGTTCTGCAAAAGCAACTGAAAATGTGTCTTTGCTTACAGTGAATGAATCAAGAACAGATCAGCCTTAAAACAGTACATCCTTAATTACAGAGATCTGGAAAATTCCAGGGCTGACAAACGGTCCTAGAACCTGCCCACAAGACACTAGTTACCAGAAATCTCTAAAGACTAGAATCTCTAAGTCTTCAATGAAAAAAAAGTTTAAATTTCTGACTTATTAGAAGTAGCACTTTGCCTAGCTGATAATTCTACGGTTATCACGGAAGTAGGAGAGGGCTGTCTGTCGCGACCGTTCCCTTGTGACTAGGAACAAGAAAAGCTCAAGTACAACAAGGAGACAGGAGTTAAGAATTCGGTCTGAGATGGGGTAAAGACCCCTCAAATACACCTTTTCTCCTGCTTTAAAGACAGAATTTGAATCATCAAACTTACTTGGGGCCAGGTGCAGTGGCTCACGCCTGTAATCACAACACTTTGGGAGGCAGAGGCGGGCGGATCACCTCAGGTTGGGTGTTCGAGACCAGCCTGGCCAACCTGGTGAAAACCCGTCTCTACCGAAAATACAAAAATTAGCCGGGTGTGGTGGCAGGCACCTGTAATCTCAGCTACTCAGGAGGCTGAGGCAGGAGAATCACTTGAACCCAGGAGGCGGAGGTTGCAGTGAGCTGAGATCACACCTCCATCCTGGGCGACAGGGCGAGACTCCCATCTCAAAAAAAAAAAAAAAAAAAAAACTTACTTGGTAGTAAGTATATCTCCAGAAGAAATGCCCCCCTCCAAATTGGGGGTCATTATGAAAGTGGCACTAATACATTTTTGCCTAACATCCATATTCCAGGTATCACATACAATACCTAGAAACGAACACAGCATCTGTTCAGAGTCTACGATGCAATACAGAAACAGAAATTAGAAACCCCGGCATGGGATCCAATAATATACGGAGGACGACAAGTTTCTGATGTATTTTAGAGCTTTAATCTAGATGACTACAAAACGCCAAGCCAAAACAGATGTATTATCTTTGGTTTTGCAAAACTAATCTCCTTCCAGAGGAGACCCTGGAGTCCAAATTGGAGCAAAGGAAATTTTATAGTTACAGACTCTTGAAAATGGAGACTTACACATGGAAATGGTGACGGCACAACCACAACGCTGAATCTGTGCTCTTCTAAATACTGTTTCCGTGGATGAAAGAGGGAAGAGGAAAAAGGAGGCCAAGTTCTTCCATGAAGACAGAAAGCCAAATTCCCATCCATTGTACAAACATATCTCAGTGACTTCTTGTATCAAGGACCTGAAATCCAGAAGGCTTTGCTCTGTTGGCAGTAATTCCGCAATTTTTCTAATGCACAGCCTCAAACTGAGGATGGAATTTTCCTTACACGATTTCTAACTACTAGCAATCAAAAGCAAGAGTGACCTGGGTACTAGCCAGAGCAGTTACAGTGGTGATGAATGGCATTTTCCTCTTGAGACGCAGAGTCTAGTTTAAACTTGTGACTGCCTCTAACATGGAAATAAGCAGATGGTGAGTTACGCTTGACCTTCTTTCTTGGCTCCTGAAGACTGCCAGTTTATATGGAGATGGCTCAGAAGAACCTGCCAATTTATATGGAGATGGCTCAGAAGAACAATAAACTTCAGTGTTCTTTCTTGGCGCAGTATTTTCCTAAAACTATTTTCAATAATCATGTTGCAGAAAAGCGGGACTTGGCGTTTCTAAGGTCAGGAAGGAAACAGTCCAACTGCTGGACTAGTTAACTAAATAAAAGAAAAAATCAGGGTGGTTTTTTTTTTTTGTGGGAGAGAACATCTCCATGAGTAGGCACTACATACAAAAGCTTAAGATTCTTGCTAATCAGAAACATGTTGTCTATATTAATTAAATGAAGACAAAACAGAACGCTTGTGTTAATGCACCTGAGTCTATGGAAAGAATGAATCTATGAAAGTTCAGAACAATATGGAAAAATGTTTCTAAAGAGATTAAATATTGCAATGATTAAAAATTACCATGTGACCCAGCAATTCCACTCCTAGGTACACAGCATAAGGGACGGAAGCAGAAACTCAAACAGGTATTTGTATGCCAATATTCATAGCATCACTGTTCACAAAAGCCAAATGGTGGAAACAATCCAAGTGTCCATGGACAGATGAATGGATACACACAATGTGGTGGAACTACACCACGGAATATTATTCACCCGTAAAAGAGAAGAAAGTGCTGATACATGCTACAACGTGGATGAATCCTGAAGACCACAGAAGTGAAATACACCAGATACAAAGGGTCAAATATTGTAGAATTCCACTTATATTAATATAAAGTTCCCAGAATAGGCAAATTCATAGAGACAGAAAGTAAAATAGAGGTTACAAGAAGTTGAGGAAAGTGGGCAGGGGAAGGAAGGACTTAATGGTTTTAATGTTTACAGAGTTTCTATTTGGGGTGATGAATAAATTTCAGAAATAGTGGTAGTGGTGGTTGTACATTATGAATGTAATTAATACCACTAATTATACACTTAAAAATGTTAAAATAATAAATTCTATATTATATACATATTTTACAAGGTTTAAAAAATAATGTAATATCAAAAACCACTGAACAGTATACTTTAAATAGATGAATTATATGTGAATTATAGCTCACTAATGCTGTTAAAATATAGCCATATAAAAAATTGAAAAAGGTTATATTTACTAAAATGAAATTTAATAAAATTTTTAAAAGCATCATCAATTACACCAAGCTACTTGCCAAGAAAAAAAACCAGGCCAGGTGTGGTGGCTCACACCTGTAATCCCAACATTTAAAAGGCTGAGGCAGGAGGTCGCTTGAACCCATGAGTTCAAGACCAGTCTGGGCAACACAGCAAAACCCGGATTCCACGAGAAATACAAAAAAAATTAGCCAGGCGTGGTGGCGAGTGCCTGTAGTCCCAGCTACTCAGGAGGCTGAGGTGGGAGGATTACTTGAGCCTGGGAGGTCGAGGCTGCAGTGAGCCATGATTTTATCACTGCACTGAAGCCGAGGTGACACAGCCAGACCCTGTCTCAAGAGAGAAAAAAAGCCAGGCCCGGTGGCTCACGCCTGAAGTCCCAGCACTTTGAGAGGTCAAATGAGGCAGGCGGACTGCCTGAGGTCAGGAGTTTCAGACTAGCCTGGCCAACATAGCAAAACCCTATCTCTACTAAAAATACAAAAAAATTAGCTGGACATGGTGGCGGGCACCTGTAGTCCCAGCTTCTTGGGAGGCTGAGGCAGGAGAATCGCTTGAACCCGGGAGGTGGAGACTGCAGTGAGCCAAGATCAAGCCACTGCACTCCAGACTGGGTGACAGAGTGAGACTCTGTCTCAAAATAACAAAAACAAAAAACCCATAAAAATAAAAACAATAAAAATTCTTTTTTATTTTTTTTGATACAGAGTCTCGCTCTGTCGCCTAGGCTGGAGTGCAGTGGCACGATCTCGGCTCACTACAACCTCTGCCTCCTGGGCTCCAGCGATTCTCCTGTCTCAGCTTCCCGGGTAGCTGGGATTACAGGCATGTGCCACCACTCCTGGCTAAATATATATATATATATATTTTTTTGAGACAGAGTCTCGCTCTGTCGCCCAGGTAGAGTGCAGTGGCATGATCTCGGCTCACTGCAAGCTCCACCCCCCGGGTTCACGCCATTCTCCTGCCTCAGCCTCCCAAGTAGCTGGGACTACAGGCGCCCGCCATCACGCCTGGCTAATTTTTTTGTATTTTTAGTAGAGACGGGGTTTCACCGTGTTAGCCAGGATGGTCTCGATCTCCTGACCTCGTGATCTGCCCGCCTCGGCCTCCCAAAGTGCCGGGATGACAGGCGTGAGCCACCGCGCCCCCGCCATTAAAAATTCATTTTTAACACTCAGGAGATGTGGCCAAAGTGGCATTCAGAGAAAAGCCGTACCTTTAAGCGCTCTTCTTACATAACAAGAAGTAGAAGGAGCATAAAGACAACAGAGATGAAAGCAGTAAAATATAAAGGTACAGAGTAATGAACTGAAACAGGAAAAGAGGAGAACTGACAAATATATCCAAGTGCAAGTCCTCTGAGAAGGCCTAAAGAAATTCTGGCTGTTTTAATCTAGGATTGGGGGTGTGGGAAAGAGAAAACATAAAATTAAGAATGAAAAGAGAGGCCAGATGCGGTGGCTCACACCTGTCATCCCAGCACATTGGGAGGCCGAGGCGCGCAGATCACGAGGTCAGGAGATTGAGACCATCCTGGCCAACACGGTGAAACCCCATCTCTACTAAAAATACAAAAATTAGCCAGGCGTGGTGGCGGCCACCTGTAGTCCCAGCTACTTGGGAGGCTGAGGCGGGAGAATCGCTTGAACCCAGGAGGCGGAGCTTGCAGTGAGCCGAGATTGCGCCACTGCACTCCAGCCTGAGCAACAGAGCAAGACTCCGTCTCAAAAAACCAAAACAAAACAAAAAGAATGGAAAGAGAATATAAACAGAGAATTGGAAAGGATGAATAAACTTAAACATCTGAGTAAAATTATTTTCAAGAACAAGGACTTACTAAAATCAACTCAAGAAGTGGAAGATGTAACTATAACCACAGAAATAACAGAAAAGGCTGCCAAGAAACCAATCTCCCAAAAGGCACTTGACCTTGATAATGGGTCAATTGTTTCAAAGACTTCAGGGACTTCAGGGTATATTATCTATAGTCTGACTCTCTGAAACAGTTTACTATTTAAATGGTCTCTGCGGTTGCAAAAAATGGGAAGCATCCCAGTTTGTTTTATAAAGCTGACAAAGGTCAGGCATGGTGGCTCACACCTGTAATCCCAGCACTTTGGGAGGCCGAGGCAGGTGGATCACCTGAGGTCAGGAGTTCGAGACCAGCCTGGCCAACATGGTGAAACCCCGTCTCTACTAAAAATACAAAAATTTAGCTGGGCATGGCTGGGCGCGGTGGCTCACGCCTGTAATCCCAGCACTTTGGGAGGCCGAAGTGGGTGAATCATTTCAGGTCAGGAGTTCAAGACCAATCTGGCCAACATGGTGAAACCCCATCTCTACTACAAATACAAAAATTAGCCGGTCATGGTAGCAGGCGTCTGTTATCCCAGCTACTCGGGAGGCTGAGGCAGGAGAATCGCTTGAACCCAGGAGGCAGAGGTTGCAGTGAGTCAAGATCGCACTACTGCACTCCAGCCTGGGTGACAAAGCGAGATTCCGTCTCAAAATAACAACAACAAAAACTGACATAAACCCGATACAAAATCTAACAATGATAACCAAAAAGAAGAAAATGTCAAACTAATTTCATTTTTTAACATGAATCAAAATCCCAGATAAAAATACTAGGATTCAACAATATATTTAAAAGACAATACACGATGACCCAGCAAGCATTTATGAAAGGTTAAATATTTTAAAAAGAAGGAAAAAAAAACTTAAACAAATCAACAACATGAAAAAACCCCTATGACTATATTCAGTACATGCTGAGAGGGCATATGATAAAATCCAACGTCTATTTTCTGGCAAAAGTGCTTAGTGACCAAGATTGTGAAGATCTCTCCTTAACAGTCAAAAGAATCGGGAAACAAGACAACATTACACTTGGTGTCAGCTCCGGGAGAGAAGTGTCTTTTGCTTTTTTCATTGTGTAATTCTCAATGCTTAAAATAGTGCCAACCACACAGAAGGCACTCACTAAATATGTACTGAGTGAGCAAATGAACAGATACACTATGTAAAGTGCCTGTCATTAAAATCAAGAACAAACTGCCTGCCATTCCCACTCTTAGCTGATCCTAAAGAGCATTTCTAAAACTTTTTGACCTCAGAATCTCTTTATACCCTTGGAAATTTATTGAAAGGGTTTATGTAGGTTATATCTACTGACATATACCAATGTTGGAGATTAAAACTGAGGAGTTTAAATAAAAAATATGTATCTGTTAATCCATTTAAACATGACAATGATAAATATATTACATGTTAGCATAAATTACATGTTTTTTGAAAAATAACTATATTTTCCCCCCAGACAAAACAAAGTTGTTTTTTTGTTTGTTTGTTTTTTGTTTTCTGTTTTGAGAGGGAATATTGCTCTGTTGCCCAGGCTGGAGTGCAGTGGTGCAATTTCGGCTCACCGCAACCTCAGCCTCCTGGGTTCAAGTTATTCTTCTGCCTCAGCCTCCCGAGTAGCTGGGCCTACAGGTGCATGCCACCACACTCAGCTAACTTTTGTATTTTTAGTAGAGACATGGTTTCACCATATTGGTCAGGGTGGTCTCGAACTCCTGACCTCGTGATCTGCCTGCCTCAGCCTCCCCAAGTGCTGGGATTCCAGGCGTGAGCCACTGCGCCCGGCCTACAAAACAAATTTCTTGAGAAGCGTGGCACTGCTGGGGTGTCTCTGCAAAAATCTTTAGTGTCTGCTCTGATAAACACCAGCTGGACTCCCATACACGCTTCCATATTGAATCTGTTGTGATCTGTTGTTCTGGTTGAAAATATGAAGAAAATCTGGCTTCACATAGATATATGTAGTTAGAAAAGGAAGAAATACTTTAATACCCAACTCTTTGTCTATTTAGGCTGCTATTAATATAACCAAATACTTTAAACTGGGTAATTTCTAAACAACAGAAATTGTTAACAGTCCTGGAAGCTGGAAAGTCCAAGATGGAGGCACCAGGAGATCTGGTGCCCAGTGAGGGCCCTTTCCTCACAGACGGCATCTTCTATGTGTCCTCACATGGGGAAAGGGGCAAATGGCCATCCTTCAAAAGTCTTTTATGAGGACACTGATCTCACAGATGAGGGCAGACCCCTTGTGACTCAGTCACCTCCCAAAGGCCCTGCTTTTAAATCCTGTCACAATAGGGATTAAGTTCCAGCATAGGAATCGTGGGAGATACCAACATTCCTGTGCTGTGACATGCTGTTTTGGTTGAAAATATGAAGAAAATCTGGCTTCACATAGATATATGTAATTAGAAAAGGAAGAAATATTTTAATACCCATTTCTTAGTCTATTCAGCTGCAATTCATAGAACAGAACACTTTAAACACAGCAGCCCTTTTCAGGTACTTGGTGATAAGCCTTTTTTAAACTACACTAAAACTCAAAAAGTGGTAGATTCTTGAGGATTAGCTGCAGTGTGGGATTTGAAATTGAATTAATGAACTTGCCATACTATATGCTGCATGAAACCCGCTGATCAGCTGTGCTTCTGCCGAGGATGCAGAAAGCAGAAAGAGTGCTGCTCTTACACTAACAAGGAGGAAAACGGAAACTGAAAACCACAACTTTTCTTGAACCTAGCAGAGAGCTAAAGGTAACCAAGCATCCTGAAATCCAAGAAGGAAGGTGCTCCCCCAGGAAAGACAGGACAGGAGAACCGTCTCCATGTAGAAGGGCATGTAAGGAAGACGGGGGTGCCACACAAGCAGGCGAGAGGGCTGAAGGAAAGTTTTTAACAAGTTACTAAAGGCCAAGTGTGGGCTGGCGCAATGGTAGGGAGGCCTGGAAAGTGTAAGCACAGGTGGGTTTGCACCCACTCTCAGGCTCTTTTCCAAGACCTTCACTGGGTGTTCATGAGGAAAAAATGGGGGCACTCTCTCCTCTTCTACACAAAATGCCTGGCATTCAATAAAAAATTTTAAGACATATATACGCCAAAAAAGAAAAAAAAGAAGAAAGGGAAGAAAGGAAAAGCACCCATTGTTAAGAGACAAAGCAACCAACAGAACCTGTCTCAAAGAGGAGCCATTTGGTATAAATATTAGATAGGCTACAGAGGAGGGGATTTTAAAATAACAATGAATAATATGCTAAAGAATCTGGTAGAAAAGGTGTTTTACCTGCACGAACAGATGAAGAATTGCAGCAGAGAGCAGGAAATTATAAGAGTCAAATGGAAATGCTAGAAAAAAGGACATGGTGTCAGAGCTGAAGAATTCCTTCAACAGCCTCATCACACTCGACACAGCAAAAAAAGGATTGGTGAACTTTAAGGTGGGTCAATAGAAAGTACCCAAACTGAAACACAAAGAGGAAAAAAGAAAAGAAAATCCAACACCTGCAGGACAGTATTAAATGTTCTAAAACACATGTAAGTAGAATTCTAGGAGGAAGAGAGAACACAACAGAAACATTTGAAGAGATAATGGCTGAGAATTTTTTTTTAAGTGAAAGGCATTAAACCACTGATCCAAGAAGTGCTGAGATCCCAAGAGGAATAAGGGTTGACTTCTCAGAAACAATGCAAGCTAGAAGACAAAGACTGACATTTTTAAAGTACTAAAAAAAAATAAAACAACAAAACTGCCAACCTAGAGTCCTAAACCAAGCAAAAATATTTTTAAAAAATAAAAGCAAAATTAAAACTTTTCAAGCAAAGAAAAGCTGAGAGCATTTCTTGCCAGCAGACCGTGTTATAAGAAACACTAAAGGAAGTTCATGAGGCAGAACAAATATGGTACAGAAAAAACTCAGATCTAAGGAGATAAAAATGAGATCTATGTGAGGTGACAAATGCCTTCATTTGCTTCTCTGCAGGCTATTTTACTGTCTTTATGTATCCTATAACATGTTATACACCTTACATATACACAATACAATTTACTTCTTCAAACATAAAATAAAATAGCTGGGTGTGGTGGCACACGCCAATAGCCTCCGGCTACTCAGGAGGCTGAGGCAGGAAGATCACTTGAGCCAAGGAGTTTGAGGCCAGCTCAGGCAACATAGCAAGACCCCATCTCTAAAAATATAAAATAAATGTAGAAACTTGAAAACTGACAAACAATAAAAATATTTTTAAAATTTATTTTTAATTACTCTAATTAGCAAAAATAGCAACAGTGATGGTGTTCATAATACGTAAAAACAAGATGTGGGGCAGAGTGGAATGCAGAGAGGATGTGAGGAAGAGGTCAGAAGCCTGCTATGAAAAGACTCTCACATTACATGTGAAGTGATACAATGTCATCACTGTGACATCAGTGACAATATGACTGTGATAAAGATGCATATTGTGGACCCAGGACAAGGAAGTACAAGAACAAACAGAAAACAAGCAAGATGCTAGATTTAAATCCAACTATATCATGGGAACAAAGCAAACTATTCACTTTCACCAGTTTTATTCCATATCACACTGTAGGTCCTAGCCAGAGTAATAAGGCAAAAAATATTTTATTCATAGGTGAGATGATTATCTACTTTTTAAAAATCCCAAAAGCCTACAAAAAAAAAATTCCTGAAACTAATAAGTGAGTTCAGCAAAGCTGCACAATATAAGGTCAATAAATAAAAATCAATTACATTTCCACAACTAGCAAGAGACAACTGGAAATTTAAATTTTAAGAGATACCATTTATAATCATACCAAAAACCACAAAATATTTAGTATAAATCTAGCAAACTATGAGCAAGATCTATATACTAAAAACTAAAACACACTGTTGAGAGAAACTAAAGACCTAAATATATGAAGAAATATTCCATGTTCATAGATTGGAAGATTTAATATTGTAAAGATGTCAATTCTCCTTCAATTGATCTATAGACTCAACGCAATCCCAATCAAAGTCCCAGAGATTTCCTTTTTTTCTTTTCTTAAATCAACAAGTTGGCCGGGCGCGGTGGCTCACACCTGTAATCCCAGCATTTTGGGAGGCCGAGGCGAGTGAATCACCGAGGTCAGGAGTTCGAGACCAGCCTGGCCAACATAATTAAACCCCGTCCCTACTAAAGAATACAAAAAATTAGCCAGGCATGGTGGCTCACGCCTGTAATCCCAGCGACTCGAGAGATTGAGGCAGGAGAATCACTTGAACCTAGGAGGCGGAGGTTGCCGTGGGCCGAGATCGCGCCACTGCACTCCAGCCTGGGCAACAAGAGCTAGATTCTGTTTCCAAAAAAAGGAAAAAAAAAGACTAATAAAGGAAAACAGATCCCAATACCTGTAAAAGTCCTGATGATCTTGGCGTAAAAACTGCCTTGCTTTAGAGATGCAATGAGAGACAGAGAAAACAAAAAGACAGATGTACTCAACACAAACAGCTGGAGTGGAGAAAGCGGGCAGCTTTGAGTCTGAGAGCCAGGAAGGGAAGACTGCAGTTCCAAGAGCCTGGGTCTGGAAACCGGTGTTGAACAGGCAGCAAAGGCTCCCTGCAGTGACCCAGGTGTCAGTTCCTTCTGTTCATTACAATACGGCATCCAAAAATACTTTTCTTCTAAAATAATATACCAACGGCCCTCAACTTGGGATGGTTCAACACAGAATTTTCTTACTACACGATGGTGCAAAGGTGAGAAACATTCTGTAGAAACCATACTTTGGGTACCCATACAACCACTCTGTTTTTCACTTTCTGTACAGTATTCAACAGATCACATGAGCTATTCAACACTTTAGTATAAAATAGGCTCGGTGTTAGATGATTTGCCTGACTGTAGCCTAATGTAAGTGTTCTGAGCAAATAAATTTAAGGCACGGTAGGCTAAGCTATGATGTTCAGTAAATTACATGTATTAATAAATTTTCAACTTAGGATATTTTCAACTTACGATGGGTTTATCAGAATAAGAACTTATTCTTCATTGCAAGTTAAGAAGCATGTGTATGATTGAGAAAAATCTGGAAACAGGTGTGGTGGCTTGCACCTGTAATTCCAGCCACTCAGGAGGCTGAGGCAGGAAGATCGCTTGAGGTAAGGAGTCCAAGACCAGCCAGAGCAATAAAGGAACACCCCATCACTACAAAAAAAAACTTTTTAAATTAAAAAATTAGCCAGACATGGTGACATGCACTTGTAGTCCTACCTACTTGGAAGTCTGAGGTGGGAGGATCGTTTGAGGCCAGGAGTTTGAGACAGTGAGCTATGCACGCCACACTCCAGCCTGGATGACCCTGGAGCGAGACCCTGTCTCTAAAAAAAAAAACAGAGAGAGAAGAGAATTGGCTGGTTGCAGTGGCTCATGCCTGTAATTCCAGCACTCTGGGAAGCGTAGGTGGGAGGATCACCTGAAGCCAGGAGTTCTAAACCAGCCTGGGCAACACAGTGAGATTCCATCTCTACAAAAAGTGTTTTAAAACAGTCAGGCATAGTGGTGTGCACCTGTAGTCCTAGCTACTTGGGAGGCTGAGGTGGAAGGATCACGTGAGCCCAGGAGTTCAAGGCTAGAGTGAGCTACGATCCTGCCATTACATTCCAGCCTGAATGACAGAGTGAGACCCTGTCTCTAAGAAGAAAAAAAAGAAGAATTTGGAAGTTATAAAAACTAGAAATGAAAAAAAATCTATCTGCAGTCTCAAATTTCAAAAACAATACAAATAATAAATTCTGTTGTCAAGTGGAATGTTTATTTTAACTATAGGGTGATATTGCATGTCACGCCAGGCAAACATCTAATGGAGGTCTTGAAGACAGGACAAGAGAAATGAACCTTTGACCACCACTGTTGCCACAGCAGATATTCTGGACCATAGGTAAGCTGTGCCGCCATTTTTATTCACAGAGAACAGCACGCTGAAGGCAGTAAGGGGCCTGGGATAATTCAGAACAAGTAAACCTGGAGTTGCTTTAAAGCACAGCAGTGGGGCTGGAGAGGAGCTGATGGAGCTGACGGAAAAGCCACAGGAACTCGACAAATACCTGGATGCACGGAACTAGGAAAACTGAAATTCCAGTGGACTGTGTATCAGCAGCACTGGTGTTCCTGCCATTTACTAAACATGAGTGAGCCCAACATTGTGCAAAAAAGGTGTTTTAAAATACATTTATTCTAGGCCAGATGTGGTGGCTCATGCCTGTAATCCCAGCACTTTAGGAGGCTGAGGCAGAAGGATTGCTTGAGGCCAGGAGTTTGAGACTAGCCTGGGCAACATAGCGAGACCTCATCTACACAATACTTAAAAATTACATTAGCTGGGCGCAGTGGCTCACGCCTGTAATCCCAGCACTTTGAGAGGCCAAGGTGGGCAGATCACCTGAGATCAGAAGTTCAAGACCAGCCTGGCCAACATGGTGAAACCCTGTCTCTACCAAAAATATAAAAACTAGCCAGGCGTGGTGGTGGTCGCCTGTAATCTCAGCTACTTGGGAGGCTGAGGCAGGGAGAATCACTTGAACCCAGGAGACGGAGGTTGCAGTGAGCAGAGATCGTAACACGGCACTCCAGCCTGGGTGACACAGCAAGACTCCAGCTCAAAAAAAAAAAGCCAGGTGCGGTGGCTCATACCTGTAATCCCAGCACTTTGGGAGGCTGAGGCACGCAGATCATGAGGTCAGAAGATCGAGACCATCCTGGCCAACATGGGGAAACCCCATCTCCACTAAAATACAGAAAATTAGCCGGGCGTGGTGGCACATGCCTGTAGTCCCAGCTACTCAGGAGGCTGAGGCAGGGGAATTGCTTGAACCCAGGAGGCAGAAGCTGCAGTGAGCCAAGATCGCACCAATGCACTCCAGCCTGGAGAGAGAGCAAGACTCAGTCTCAAAAAAAAAAAAAAAAAGATGCGCATGGTGGCATGTGCCTGTGGTCCCAGCTACTCGGGACGCTGAAGTGAGAGGATCACTTGAGCCCACGAGGTTGAGGGCGCAGCGAGCTGTGATTGCACCACTCCACTCTAGCCTGGGCAACAAAGTAAGACCCTGTCTCAAAAACAAATAAATAAATAAGTGGATAAATAAAATAAAGTATATTAATTCTAATCCCCCCTAACCCTGAGGTACGTATTATTATCTCCATGTCACAGATGGAAAGTTAAATATCTTGTCCAAGGTCACACAGATAACAGCAGAGACAAAATTTAAATTCAAAGCTCAAGTTTTTTTCACTTTACCAAGATGCCATCCAATGTTACATCACTGAAGATATCTAACTACACCAATCCTTAGAGAATTGAAATAAAATGCCCAGTCCTTCACTGTACATAGAGGAGAGAAGATAGCTATTTGGATTCCTTATAGCTTTTCTAAAAATGAGGGATTTTAGAGGATACGTGGCAAAGTGTTCCAAATATGCCGCAGACATGTCTCCCTGCCAAAAAAGCGCTATCAAGGTGATATGATTTGGCTGTGTCCCCACCCAAATCCCTACATGTCATAGGAGGGACCTGGTGGGAAGTCACTGAACCACGGGGTGGTTTCTCCCATTCTATTCACGTGATAGTAAGTTCTCACAAGATCTGATGGTTTTGTAAGAGGCTTCCCCCTTCGCTCAGCTCTCATTCTTCCTCTCTCCTGCCACCTTGTGAAGAAGGATGGGTTTGCTTCCCTTTCCACCATGATTGTAAGTTTCCTGAGGCATCCCCAGCCCTGCAGAAATGTGAGTCAATTAAACCTCTTTCCTTTATAAATTACCCCGTCTAAGGTATTTCTTCATAGCAGTGTGAGAACGGACTAATACACAAGGCTTGTGTGCAATAAACAGGATGAAGAATGGTAGTGAGGCCAAACCCAGTTGCACTACATTGTTAAACAGTTAACGGACATTTTATGAGTCCCCGCCTCAACTACAACCAGTAGCACTCTAGAAGCAGGCAAAATGAACAGTCGCCCGCCCCGCCTCAACTACAACCAGTAGCACTCTAGAAGCAGGCAAAATGAACAGTCACCGGATTCAACTTGACAAAGGCAAGCCAACCTTGACCTCTGCACTAGACGTAAGAAATCCTGGTTGGGAAATGACTGTGAGCCCGAATCAAAACTCTGCCCCTACAAAAGGCTGATCTAACAACCCGACTCCAGGGCTGCCCCACAGATCACGGTGTTCAGGGCACTCCCAGGTCATGTCCAAACCTCAGCAATTCCTGAAGTTTAGTGTTATTTGCAGACATGCTGAAAAGTACAACGCAAAAAATAATAACAGAAAAGAAACAAAAAATGTCCAGCCAATCTTGGCCACTAATGGGAAACTTCGAGGCCATACTCTAAAAGCTCAGTCGCTTTAGCTGTGGTATGTTTTAGTAGGAAGAAGCAAGTAGCAATTGCCATTTTTTTCCAAACTATTTGTGGTCCCTTTAATACTAATACCAATTACTTTCTTCAATTTTTATCAATCAATGGGCTTCATTTTCCTCCCAAGAGAGGATGAGAGAAAGGATCAATTTAAAGTGAGGGAGGATAAGAATATAAAGTCTCCTTCTAGTGAGCTGACAATGACAAATTCAAAATCCCACATAATGAAGATCAATGCCATGCTGGGAAGTCAGTCTTGGAGAGCAGTTATTTTTGTTCTTTTCACTTGAGACAGGGTCCCCAGGCTGCAGTGTAGAGGTGCCATCATAGACTGCTGTAACCTCAAACCCCTGGGCTCACGCAATCCTCCTACCTCAAACTCCTGAGTAGCCAAGACTATAGGTTTGTGCCACCATGCTGGACTAATTTTTTTTTTTTTTTTTTTTTTTTTTTGAGATGGAGTCTCACTCTGTCACCAAGGCTGGAGTGCAGTGGCACCATCTCAGCTCACTGCAACCTCCACTTCCTAGGTTCAAGTGATTCTCCAGCCTCAGCCTCGTGAGTAGCTGGGACTACAGGCACGCACCACTGCATCTGGCTAATTTTTGTATTTTTAGTAAAGCCCAGGTTTCCCCATGTTGGCCAGGCTGGTCTTAAACTCCTGATCTCAGGCGATCCGCCCACCTCCGCCTCCCAAAGTGTTGGGATTACAGGCGTAAGCTACCAAGCCCGGCCTATTTTCGTTCTAATGCTTGAATTGCATAATATGCTAATTTTGAGGAAGAAAAGCAAGGAACACTTTCTCCTTGGAAGGCAATGTACTTTGCTGCTTTAGTTCATAATCTTTATGATATCTCTATGTAAAAGTGAAGAAGGCAAGTATTAACAGCCTCCTTTTTTGGTGAAAATCAAGACATGGGAAGATGAAGAAACAGCCCCGGACGACACACACAGACAGGTAGAAATCCTGTTTTTTGGGTCTGGCACTTTGCGCTGAAGTGAGGAGGAAGAACAGGAAGCCTCTGACGGCACGTCACACGGCTCTGAATCCACTCCATTCTGCCTTTTCATCTACAACTTGAATGAAGACACAGAAGGCATGTCTGGCAAATCTGCTAATGATAAAGTGGGGAGGTCATCAAGGCTCCCAAAGATCTTGATGGGATAAACAATCGAGCAGAACTAGTGGGATGAAACGAAAGCTGAGACACACACGGTCTGACAATTTCAAAGACTCTCTTGCACAAACAGAGGTGGAGAAAGTTTAAATGAAAGTCATATGAAGAAAGACCTGGGACAGTACTGGCCCACAGATGTGTTTTGTTTGCCCTTTGCAGTGTTTGTGAAAAACACTAAGCCAATAGTTAAAAATTGTGAGAGTTACATGAAAATCCGGATTTCCGGCTGCTCTTGAAAAACTGATAGATCTGGCAATTCCAGGTCTGCGTTCAGACGTGACAACAGCTGATTAGAATTCACTTGTGACTATCCCCTTAGGACCTGGTGGATGCATGTGGACACACACCAGCCTGCTTACGCCGCTTAGGTTACTTTCCCAGCTCTGCGGACATCTGTTTGCGACTCTTGACCTGGGGGTTTCAGGTGACTGCCAACTCAGTAGAAGCCAACCATGTAATACGGCTGCCAAAAATCTCAGCAAATCCAAGGTAATGGAAGAATAGTGTCTAAAATAAAAAATCTCAGCAAATCCAAGGTAATGGAAGAACAATGTCTACAATCAAAAATCTCAGCAAATCCAAGGTAATGGAAGAACAGTGTCTAAAATCGGTGGCCCTTAAGTTTTGAAGAGTCACAGACTCCTTAGAAAATCTAGAAAAATCAATAAGTTTTCCTCCCATAAATATGTCTAGACATACAAAAATTTACAGTTAATTTCAGGGACTTGACAGACACTCTGGACCCCCAGTCCCTAAGTTAATGAGCTCGGCCCAGAACAAAGAGGTCAACTGTCTCAGTGTATATGTTGACACAGCATGTCCACTCCTGGGAACCACATTTTAAGAGGGATGCTGACAAACAGCTATCAAGAGCAAGGATGATAAAGGGTCTGGAAATTGCATTATAAAGATGAAGAAACTAAGAATGGTTAGCCTAGAAAAGGGAACACTTAGGAACATAATATCCATTTTCAATTTCAGAAGCTGTAGTAAGGAAAAGGGATTAGGCTTACACCCATCCAGCTGGCAGAACTAAGATCAACAAGAAGTTACAATGAAGTCTATTTCACTGTTTCAGTTCAGTCTAAGAAAGGAGTTTCTCACAACTAAAGCTATAAAACTGAACTAGTCTGTCCTGTGGACCAACAAAGTAGCAAGCTCCCCATCACTGAAAGTAGCCAAGCTTCTGCAAGATAATGAAACGTCAGAGATGTAATACAAAGGACTCCTGAACTGGGTGGAAGATTGTACTACAATTACCTAATCCTTCTTCCAAAGCGAAGGAGTGAGCAATACAGCACCCCCTCCTTATCAGCAGTTCACTTTCTGAGGTTTTAGCCACCTGTAGTTGACTGTGGTCCAAAAATATTACATGGAAAATTCCAGAAACAGACAATTAGTAAATTTTAAATTATGCGCCATTCTGAGTAGTGTGATAAAATCTTGCACCACCCAATTCTGTCCTGACCAGGTCACGAATCATTCCTTCACCCAGTATATCCATGCTGAATACAGCACCTATTAGTCACTTAGCAGCCATCTCGGCTATTACATACAGCTCCAAATCACAAGAGGAGTGATGCTGGCATACTGTCATAATTGTGCTATTTTATTTTTAGTTATTGTGGTGAATCTCTTACTGTGCCTAATTTGCATGCTAAAGTTTATCACAGGTATGTATACATAGGAAAAAATACGGCATATATAGGGTTTGCTACTCTCTGGGTTTCAGGCATCCACTGGGGGTCTTGGAATGTATCCCCCACAGGTAAGTGGGGACGACTTGTAATAATTCTCTTCTCCTCCCAAACCTTACTCTTGTTCTGATCAAAGAAATGGCTACATTGCAGCCAGGCTCCATTGAAGAGACAGAAACTCGGTGGCTGATCCTCTCCTGTGAGTCTGAGAGCTTACTGACGACCGGTCAACGTTGGCCACTCTTGAAACTTCCCACTGCCGGCTTTTTCTTCCTCTAACCCGCCCCTCTATTCACCTCTCTTTCACCTACGTTCAAGCCATCCATTTTAATTCTTGGGAAGCTGCAAAAATTTCATAGCATACCACATCATGTACTTGTTGAATTGACTCATCCACAAAGTTTTAAACGTGGGCATTTAATTAAAGCTTTTGACTGATGATTTCAACAGATAAAAATGGGGAGGATTCCGTGCCATATAAACTTTATAAGAGCATCATCGTCTGGTTAGAAGAGGTCACAGACTAGACCAGTTCAAGCTGGCCCACATAGAAGGTGGTCAAAAAACAAAGACTCTGCAAACGTTTAGCAGAATGTTAACCAAGCGGCTGGTATTTCAGAAACTTCAAGAAGCTCAAGAAATGACCTAATTATGCCTTCAATATTTAAATCATTCCTTACCCCCAAATAATTTTTGAGTCAAAAACATTGCTTTTCAAAAGCAACTTTTCTGCTAAAAATGTCATTTAAGACACCATGAATGTGAAGTCAACACTTTCCCCTTATTTACAGATATAGAAGCACACCTAGCCGGGTGCGGTGGCTCACGCCTGTCATCCCAGCACTTTGGGAGGCCGAGGCGGGCGGACCACAAGGTCAGGAGTTTGAGACCAGCCTGACCAACATGGTGAAACCCTGTCTCTACTAAAAATACAAAAATGAGCTGGGCATGGTGGTGCGCACCTGTAATCCCAGCACTTTGGGAGGCCGAGGCGGGCGGACCATGAAGTCAGGAGTTTGAGACCAGCCTGACCAACATGGTGAAATCCCGTCTCTACTAAAAATACAAAAATTAGCCAGGCGTGGTGGTGCATGCCTGTAATCCCAGCTACTCAGGAGGCTGAGGCAGGAGAGTCGCTTGAACCCAGGAGGCAGAAGTTGCAGTAAGCCGAGATCACACCACTGCACTGCAGCCTGGCTGACAGCGAGACTCTGACTCAAAAACAAAACAAAAAACAAAGAAGCAAGAAGCACATCTAGGCTGGGTATAGCCTAGCAGCCATCTCGGCTATTACATACAGCTCCAAATCACAAGAGGAGTGATGCTGGCATACTGTCATAATTGTGCTATTTTATTTTCAGTTATTGTGGTGAATCTCTTACTGTGCCTAATTTGCATGCTAAAATTTATCACAGGTATGTATACATAGGAAAAAATATGGCATATATAGGGTTTGCTACTCTCTGGGTTTCAGGCATCCACTGGGGGTCTTGGAATGTATCCCCCACAGGTAAGTGGGGACGACTTGTAATAATAAGTGTCTCATGCCTATAATCTCAGCATTTTGGGAGCCCAAGGCAGGAGGATCACTTCAGGCCAGGAGTTCAAGACCAGCCCGGGCAACACAGCAAGAACCCATCTCTACCAAAAATAAAAAATTAAAAATTAAAAATAGCTGTGTGTGGTGGCACATGCCTGTAGTCCTAGCTACTTCGGAGGCTAAGGTGGGAGGATCACTTGGCCCCAGGAGTTCAAGGTTACCGTGAAAAATGATTGCACTCCAGCCTGAGCAACAAGGCAGGACCCTGTCCCTAACATGATAATAATAAATACAAATTTAAAAGCGGCACATCGGTTCTGGTTAAACACAATCAAGATTAAATTTATAAAACGAAAACCTCCTTTTGTCCATATGCCACTCCCTTCTGAGTGTTCTTCAGAAGCTTAGGAAGCGAGTGCTGAAAGCAAACTTCTCTTCTCTTCCAGGGAAGAGGGGAACGTGGGGCCTCTTGACCTACAAAACTCAGTATTTTGGAACATCCGTAATTCCACCAAGTCTGTTGCAGTCAAATAGACTCCTTTTAGCAAACCAGCCAGCCAGGGCTGGAGAGCAAGGCTTTCATACCTAGGAGTTGACAAGGACAGGACCCAAGAGCTCCTTGGAAAAAAAAAAGCTTGTACTTCAGTTTGCATTACAAAGTGCTGGAAAAGACAGATGGGGCCATGACAGGAAAAGCAGTTATTTCTTCTGGGCTTCCTTTCTGTCTGGATTCTAAGGAGACGAATACAAAGTTCCATCACAGATTGAAATGCTATCTAAACATTCTTGAAAATGTGGTCTTGCTCTGTGAAATACGACCTGCTCTGCTGCGGCAACCTGTAACCTATTAATACGGGATGGGGGAGAACGCCGACATTCCTGCAGACTGTCGAATTCTGGGTCTGACTCTGTAATACCGCTAGTTTGCAAGAGTCCAGAACCACAGGTTGAAACGTAAATAACTGAAAGATACACATCTATTATGCACAGCATGACCCAACAAAAAATGCCGATGAATCACTCACTATTTTCACATTCTTGAAATTTTAAACATCTATGACTCCTGCACTGTAAGACTTCTAGTGAGCCATTCCAAATGTAGGCTGAATCACACTGAACAAGCAGTGTTACTATTCCCAGTAGCAGCAAGTTGGGACTCTTAATGCACAAAGCAAGTTCTAAATCACTTTTAAGGAACACCCACTTGCTGATCAAAATGATGTTTTTATGATAAAATGTTTTTGTTTATTTATAATTAATAAACAATCTTAGACAGACAAAATATTCAATACAGTTGCATAAAATGTTGTGGGGGTTTTGCTGTTGCTTTTGGGGATGGGGTCTCGCTCTGTCATCCGGGCTGGAGCGCGGCGGCACCATTACAGCTCACTGAAGCTTGTACTACCACACCCAGCTAATTATTTTACCTTTTCGTAGAGACGTGTATTGCTATGTTGCCGAGGCTGGTCTCAAACTCCTGGCCTCAAGTCATCCTCCCACCTAGGCATCCCAAAGTGTTGAGATTACAGGCATGAGCCATTGTGCCTGGCTCAGTTGAATAAAATGTTATTGCATGTGGCCTATGTGTAGTGAAATAGAAAGATGACAAAGATACAGTTCTTACCTTCCAGGAGCTTACAAACATCAAAGGGATGAGACTTGTTCTCTGGTAAGTCAAGGGAGACCCCAAAAGCCAAATGAAAAGTACAAGAATGGGGCTGTGGGATTTATGGAGAAAGGACATCGAGGGACACTGGAATCCATTTTCTCCTCTGTAAAATGAGGGGAGGGGCCCAGATGAGTTTCAAATCCTTTCCAGTTCAAAATTCTGATTCCTTGGTGTATTCAGATAAGGTCCATGGAAAACATCGTCAAGAAACTAGTATCTGAGCTGGTCCTTGGATGGGTAAGATTGGGAAATGCGGCGGCTTAAAGAAATAGGAGGAAAAGCATTTCAAGCACAAAAGAGTCTGTAAGCACAGGTCCAGAAAGCACAGGCATGCTCGTAGAGCACAAAGTCTTCAGTGTAGACAGAACACAAGAGGAGGCAAAACTGGAATTGGAGACCAGAATTTTGAATGCCAAGCAAAGGAATTTGGATTTCTTTTTTTTTTTAAACAGGGTCTCACTCTGTTTCCCAGGCTGGAGTGCAGTGGCGCGATGATGGCTTACTGCAGCCTCGAACTTCCTGGCTCAGCTGATCTTCCTGTCTCGGCCTCCTCAGTAGCTGGGACTACAGGCACAGGCCACCACCATGCCCAGCTAATTTTGTACTTTTTGAAGATGCAGGGTTTTGTCATGTTGCCCAGGCTGGCCTTGAACTCCTAGGCTCAAGTGATCTCCCCGCCTCGGCCTCCCAAAGTGTTGGGATTGCAGGTGTGGGCCACCATGCCTGGCCTTGGATTTCATTTAGTGGCCAGAGCTGATACGGTGTCTGAAGAGGTAGACAATACGATCAAACACAGATTAGGACAGCTAAGCAGCAGAATGCAGCTGGAGTGCTTGAGGCTGCCCTGTCCCTCTGTAGGACCCCTCTGAAGGTCCCATTTACATGGGCCTCATCTGCCAAAGAAGCCATGCTTCATGAAATATACCTCAACAGACAAAACGAGGTAACGAGGGCTAAAAAAAATACAGGAGTCCAGAAAACCAGAACAGTTTTAGGAACCTAATGTGTCTACACACAAATTCTGATGATGACAAGAAGGCCAGCTACTCACAAACAGGCCAAAGGAAACTGGCTATCAAATGGAAAGTGACTATAAAGTGGAAAAATGGAAAAAGAAAGTGATATAAAGTAGTAAAAATAGACAGATGGGAAAACTACAGATGTAAAAGAAAGAGACTCCTAATATCTGTAAGCAACTGGCAGAAGGAAACAGAAATATCAGAGATCTGGAAATTTCAGCGTAGGATTATATGCTCCTCCCACTCCAAATCTGGGCAGCAGGATGAACATTTTTAGAAATTAGCTGTCCTAAAAAATGTCAAAGAGGAGAAATCACAGCATTGAAGCAATTGCAAAGAAGCAGTCCTGACCTGAGTTAGTGCTGATAAGGGAGGACAGGACATGGCAAGAGAGGACGGCTAGAAAGGCAAGCTCAGCATTTCTACTACAACAGCCATTCTGAAATACGATGCCTCAACAGAAGAACAGAATCAAATAAAAAGGGAAATGGTTCACAGATAACATCTGGCCCCTCAATTATTAAAGAGTATCTCCTCCCTACACACTTTTCCCTTCATTGCCTCCAACAGCCTCCTTAACTAGATCCAGTAAGACTTACTTCATTCCCTCCAATGGCCTCCTTAACTAGATCCAATAAGACTTATAAAACTTTTTTTTTTTTTTTTTTTTGAGACAGTCTCACCCCTGTCGTCCATGCTGGAGTGCAGCGGTGCAATCTCGCCTCACTGCAACCTCTGGCTCCTGGGTTCAAGTGACTCTCATGCCTCAGCCTCCTGAGTAGCTGGGATTACAGGCGTGAGCCGCTGTGCCCGCTGTGCCCGGCCAACTTGTAAAATTTTTTAATGAATCTTGAGTCACCTGCCTGCTGGCAAAGCGAGGTACGAGGAAATGGTAACTATGTCAGGTTACTATCTTTTACAGCCACAAAATATCAAAACCCCAACAACTCAGCTGACGAATGCAGCAACCTCATTTAGCCACAGCCCACAAAATAAAAGAGGGCACAAGAGATGCCCGACACGAAGGAGAAAGACAAGGAAGCCCCAGTGTTCTCATCTGGCCTCGGGTGAGCGGTGCCACAGTTCACGGTCCTGGTCCAAGGGACACTGAGGGACAGCACGTGGCTGCTGTGGGCGCCTGCCCTGTCTTGTCCTGCCATGTATGAAACGGATCAATCGGAAAGTGCTCTGCAAGAGGGCACATCGACGTTTTGGTCATCTGGTTGCCGGGAGAAACCAGGGGAGCATAGGTAATATGGAGGAATGAGTTACTTACTTGCCGTCCATCCTGCCCCACGTTCGTCTGACCTCTTACAACAGTTCGAATATTGTCATCCAGTCTCCTAGCAAAACAGTTCAAGGATACAGTCATTCAAATAATCTTTATTCTAGGTTGACCAAAAGAAAAAAAGTAAAAAGTAATTTATTCATCAACTTCTGCAGACTGCACCTAATTGTCCAGAAAACCAAACATGTGTGAGTGGCATCAGGCAGGAGGAGGGCAGCGACAGCCGTGCGGGAAGTCAAGCCCAGTGCAGGCTGATGCATCGCCTTGTTGTTAAAAATGCCTATTTTCACTTAATAGTCAGAGCTATCTGAAAGGACTAATAAAATCTGCAGGATTTTTCATGGAGTACATCAGGAATGACAAAGTTCCGGAGCCTTTACGTGAACATGCCAGATAACTCAAATTACCTCACACACAATCCCTTTCTCGGTCCCCTTATGAGGCGGAAAGAGCCAGAGTGATAGATGGAATCAGTGCTTCCGGGCCCTGATCATGCAATCCATGCCTGAGGCAGATCTACGGCTTCCAGCTCCTCTGCCCCCACGGTTCACAATGTTTAATCATGGGCCACCACCCAACCCACCAGCAGATCTGACATGGTTAGCTGTTATGTGACCAAGGGATACACATATAAGCCCATCTTCATGTCTAAGCCTTGGGAACACAAAAACAGGTAAATCCACAAAAACAGGGAAATAAAGCCATTAAAAAGCTAGTCGAAGGACAGACAGAATGGCTCACACCTATAATCCTAGCACTTTGGGAGGCCAAGGCAGGCAGATCACTTGAGGCTAGGAGTTCAAGACCAGCCTGGCCAACACAGTGTAACCCTGTAACTACTAAAAACACAAAAATTAGCTGGGCATGGTGGTGCATGCCTATAATTCCAGCTACTTGGGTGGCTGAGGCTCAAGAATTGCTCGAACCTGGGAGGTGGAGATTACAGTAAGCCAAGATCACACCACTGCACTCTAGCCTGGGTGACAGAGCCAGACTCCATCTCAAAAAAAAAAAAAAAAAATCTAGTAGATGTGGGAGACTGAGGCAGGCAGATTGCTTGAGCTCAGCAGTTTGAGACCAGCCTAGCCAACAAGGCGAAACCCCATCTCTACAAAAAATATAAACATTAGCAAAGTGTGGTGGTGCGCCTGTAGTCCCAGCTACTCAGGAGGCTGAGGTGGGAGGATCACTTGAGCCCAGGAGTTCGAGGCTGCAGTGAGCTGTAACTGCACCAGTACGCTCCAGCCTGGGACACAGAGTAAGACCTTGTTTTGAAAAAAAAACAGAAAAAAAGAAAAAAAAAATCTATCAGAAAAGCTTTTGCCTCCTTCTATAATTACAAAAGATGTTTTGAGTAGACTCTATCACAGCTTCCTTCCTTTTGTATGAAGAATTGAAGACTGGCCAAAGCATTGAGTTCCTTGCCACAAAGTTCATATGGATAAAATAATTATATGGCCGGGTGCGGTGGCTCACCCCTGTCATCCCAGCACGTTGGGAGGCGAAGGCAGGTGGATCACTTGAGGTCAGGAGTTCGAGACCAGCCTGACCAACATGGTGAAACCCCGTCTCTACTAAAAGTACAAAATTTGCCAGGCGTGGTGGCTCACACCTGTAATCCCAGCTACTAGGGAGGCTAAGGCAGGAGAATCACTTGAACCTGGGAGGTGGAGGTTGCAGTGAGCCAAGATCACACCATTGCACTCCAGCCTAGGCAATGAGCAAAAATCCGTCTCAAAAATAAATAAATAAATAATAAAAATTTTAAAAGGAATTATATTACCATCTATGGCAAACTTGAGATTTCAGTGCTCTCACAGAAAAATGTGATCCAGAATGTGATTAACTAAATTAACAATATACTTTTCATTAATTATGAACAATCACACAGCTTTACTCACCTTATTTTCAGCCTAATTTTGTTCACGACTTCGTCTATGTTCGCCAGAGACTACAATAAAGAAGGAAGAGTGCCCAGCTGTTAGTCCACTTCCTGGAATTCCTCTTTCACAGGAAAATGATGTGCTATAATAGCTACTTATGAAATCTCAAAAAATTTAATCACATGATATGAGTTTTGCTTTAAAAAAAAAAAAAGTAAAGCAGTAGTTGGAAGCTACAGCCACATCTAGCCCAGCCCCTGTTTTTTGTAAATAAAGTTTCACTGGAACACAGCCATGCCCGTTCACTTACATATTGCCTGCGGCTGCTCTTAAGCTAACATGGCAGGTAGGCAGTCGTGAAAGACGCTGTACAGCCACAAAGCCTGAAGTATTTACTATCTGGACCTTTACAGGAGAGTCTGCTGACCCATGGTGTACGTGATTGTGACAAATTCACGTAACGAAATACAGCAACAAAAATGAATGAATGCACAACACCATGGATAAACATTTTACTAACGGAATGGGGCACAGAAAAAGCCAGACACAAGGGGACAGAGGATATGATTTCACTAACATAATTCTCCTGTTAGAAGCTAGGACAGTGGTTATCTCTGGGGGAAGGTAGTGACAGTGAACAGGCAAGGAAAGGCCTTCTGAAGATTTTTTTAAATGTTTTATTTCTTGATCTGGGTGGCAGTTACATGGCTATGTTCATTTTGTGAAACTTCATCAAGTTGTACCCTTAAGATTTGTGTACTCCTCTGTATTATGTTATACTTCAATAAATACACAAATTTATTTTTTATTATATAGATCCACTAGAAAAAAGTCTGGAAGGATAGATAGGAGTAATTGTAATGTATTAGTAGTTGCAGCATTAGTAGCTATAATCTATCAACTACGTATTGCAATATGAAAAGAAGTGATTTCAAATTTTTCTTCTTGGGCCGGGTGCAGTGGCTCACGCCTGTAATCCCAGCACTTTGGGAGGCCAAGGCAGGCGGATCACCTGAGGTCAGGAGTTTGAGACCAGCCAGACCGTCATGGCGAAACCCCATCTCTACTAAAAATACAAAAAAAAAAAAATTAGGCAGGCTTGGTGGTGGGCACCTGTTGTCCCAACTACTCAAGAGGCTGCGGCAGGAGAATCGCTTGAACCCGGGAGGCAGAGGTTGCAGTGAGCTGAGAATGTGCCATTGCACTCCAGCCTGGGCAACAAGAGCAAAACTCTGTCTCAAAAAAAAATATTTTCTTCTTTTTGTCTGTATTTTATAATTATTGACTATGCACTACTACTGTGATTATAATAAGCTTATTATAACAACAATTAAAACAAAGGGATCACTTCTGACCTTAGAGATGAGAAAATGTGAGGAAATGGTGCCCCCTAATGGACAAGAGGAGGTACAATTTTATAGTACTATTTTAATTCAAGTTTTCAAAATACAATTTAATAAATCCTCTTCCTCTCTCCCTTAACAAATATTTTATCTCAGAAGGAATTAGGGATATTGTAGGAAATATGCTTATAAATTGCTTCTGGCTACCTCTGATGGGAGGAGGAGGCCAGGTGCCTTCCAGGAGCAGGTCTGGTAAGAGAAACAGGCCATGAGTGTTTGAGATGTCAGACTGGGTTGTCACAGCTCATCCTACTGTTCTGACCAAGCCAACAGTTACTCAGAATTTTCAGAAATCCAAGAACAGCTTGAGGTAAAAATGAATCTCAGGCTGGACGTGATGGCTCATGCCTGTAATCCCAGCACTTTGGGAGGCTAAGGTGGGAGGATCACTTAAATCCAGGAATTCAAGACCAGCCCAGACAATACAGTGAGATCCCATCTCTCCAAAAAATAAAAAAAAGTTAGCCAGGCATGGTGGCATGTGCTTGCAGTCCCAGGTACTCAGGAGGCTGAGGTGGGAGGATCACCTGAGCCCAGAAGGTCGAGGCTGCAGTAAGTCATGTTTGCACCACTGCACTCCAGCCTGGGCTAAACAGCCCTGTCTCAAAAAAAAAGAAAAACGAATCTCAGAAAAATTACTTTAATTTATATATAATTATATATATACATATATTTTTGTGTGTGATGGAGACTAGCTCTGTCACCAGGCTGGAGTGCAATGGCGCGATCTCGGCTCACTGCAACCTCCGACTCCCTGGTTCAAGCGATTCTCCTGCCTCAGCCTCCCGAGTAGCTGGGATTACAGGCACATGCCACCACGCCCAGCTAATTTTTGTATTTTTAGTAGAGACGGGGTTTCACCACGTTGGCCAGGATGGTCTCGATCTCTTGACCTCGTGATCTGCCCGCCTTGGCCTCCCAAAGTGCTAGGATTACAGGTATGAGCCACCGCGCCTGGCCAAGAGGAAAACATTTCTAATATCATTTTATGATAGCAAGTATTTTTATAATATCAAATAGCCTACCTTTAAGATGGCGGCTCACTCTGTCACCAAGGCTGGAGTGCAGTGGTGCAATCATAGCTCACTGTAACCTCAAACTCCTGGGCTCAAGCAATCCTCCCACCCCAGCCTCCTGAGTGGCTAGGAACAAAAAGGTACATGCACTGAGCCTGGCTAATTTTATTATTTTGTTATAAACACAGGGTCTTGCTATGCTGTCCAAGCTGATCTTGAATTCCTGGCTTCAAGCAATGCTCCCGCCTTGGCCTCCCAAAGCACTGGGATTACAGGCATGAGGCAGTGCACCCGGCCCTATAATATCATTTTTATAATATAATGAATGTAGCTTTTAAAAAGAACAGAGGCCGGGTGTGGAGGCTTATGTCTGTCCTTTGGGAGGCTGAGGTGGGTGGACTGCTAGAGCCCAAGAGTTAGAGACCAACCTGGACAACGTGGTGAAACTCCGTCTCTACAAAAAAATAGAAAAATTAGCCGGGTATGGTAGCACACGCCTGTAGTACAATCTGCTTATTAGGCTGAGGAAAGAAGACTGATTGAGTCTGTAAATTCCAGGGCACAGTGAGCTGTGATGGAGCCACTGAACTGTAGCCTGGGTGATGGGTGACAATCTCAAAAAGAAAAAATAAATAAAAATAAAATAAAAATAGGCTGGGCGCGGTGGCTCATGCCTGTAATCCCAGCACTTTGAGGCCGAGGTGGGCGGATCACAAGGTCAGGAGTTCGAGACCAGCCAGGCCAATATGGTGAAACCCCGTCTCTACTAAAAATACAAAAAAAAATTAGCCGGGCGTGGTGGCAGGTGCCTGTAATCCCAGCTACTCGGGAGGCTGAGGCAGGAGAACTGCTTGAACCCAGGAAGCAGAGGTTGCGGTGAGCCGAGATCGCGCCACTGCACTCCAGCCTGGATAACAGAAGGAGACTCTGTCTCAATAAATAAATAAATAGAAGAGAAAGAAATATCCTAAAGTTACACTATTTGATAGTCAGGTGGCCTTTGGGTGACTGTTTTCCCTTCATTTCCAGGCTTTCTGCTGGAGGGGAAAGGGAAAGGCTGCTAGCATTTAATGTGGATCTCCTAGGCAACAATTGCAGGCACTTCACAGAAATTATTTCCCTTAATCCCCTCTGCCAGGCGAGGCACACTTTTCTCCTCTTCAACGTTAAGATTGGGAACTATGGAGGCGGAGGCCGGGCATGGTGGCTCATGCCTGTAATCCCAACACTTTGGGAGGCCAAGGTACGTGGGTTTCCTAAGCTCAGCAGTTCAAGACCAGTCTCTGGGCAACCTGGCAAAACCCTGTCTCTACCAAAAATACAAAAAACTACCTGGGCTTGCTGGTGCACACCTGTGGTCCCAGCTACTCAGGAGGCTGAGGTGGGAGGATCGCTTGAGCCTGGGAGGCAGAGGTTGCAGCGAGCCGAGATCACACCACTGCATTCCAACCTAGGTGACAGAGTGGGAACCCACCTCAAATAAAAAACAGATGGGAAACGTGCTCTGCAGGACAGGTGCTTTGCCTGAAGCTGCAGAGATCCCACCTCAAATAAAAAACAGATGGGAAACGTGCTCTGCAGGACAGGTGCTTTGCCTGAAGCTGCAGAGATCCTCTTTCTTACTCTAGCATCTACCTCTAACGCAATGATTCTTGACCTAATTTTCCTGCACCCCAAGACACCGGACAGCTATGACACACCCACTCTCATCAGTTAGTTCAGTGTCTGGCTATGGCAGTGATCCTCACCAGGGTCGAGGGCCTCTCCTGGAGTTGGGGAAAAGCCCTGTGGGAATCCACATTGGCTGGGCAGAGGGGTTTATCCTGCTTTGAGAATCACTCATCTCGTTTAGTTATAATGTGGTTGTACAGTTTTGTTTACTTTTTAAATGTTTTAGTTATTGCAAAATATTTCCTGATTCTAATGGTAATTCTTGACAATTACAGAAAATAGGTAGTCATCTGCACACCCAGGACAGTATGACCACAATCAGAATTTTTGCGTATTGCCTTCTACTACGAAACTGTATAGCTGTACAAAAATAAACTGGGATGATAAGCAATTTGGCATCTTTTTTTTTTTTTTTTAAGGCAGGATCTCATTCTGTCACCCAGGCTGCAGTGCAGTGGCACGATCTCAGCTGACTGCAACTTCCACCTCCCAGGCTCAAGCGATCCTCCTGCCTCAGTGATCCACCCGCCTTGGTCTCCCAAAGTGCTGGGATTAGAGAATACAGCCATGAGCTGGATCTTGGGTTTTTTTTTCTCTTAACAATACAGATCCAGAGCATTTTTGGGGTCACCAGAAACTCTTTAGAAACATCCCCATATAACTCTTTTCTCAAAGTTCCTAATTATGTTAGTTTTGTATTAGTTTTCCATAAATTTCATTTAGTTTCCTCTAATCAAACTTTCAAATGATTATCTTCAGTTTACTATTAGGAGGCTAAAACGATTTTCTAGACCACTGCGACCAAACCTGGCTACTATTTAAACCCCACAGGCACTCTGCTGCATGGAAAATCCCAAGCTCCTCTCAGGCCTGGCTGGGTGAAATAGTAAGAGGCATCCATTCCAGGCCACTCAACAGGCTCCAGACAACCGCAGACACACAAGTACTTCCACTCAACAGAAACATATTCTCACCCTCCTCCTCACAGTAACACTAAATTCACTCTGGAAATACTGAAATCTACTTTAAACAATCTAAACTCATAATGTACAAGTGTTTACTGGAGGTCCATGAGGTATACAGATGGTTTTTGCCCAATATCTGACAATAGTTAAATTTCAAGCTATGCCACTACTTTCTACTACCTTTTCATTAAGATCCACAGGAATCTGGCTTAGATTTCACTCAGATGACCTGCTAAGTGAAACTCTGAGACTAGAGAAGTAAAGATAACCCTGTGTCATAAATGTTCTGAGTTACTCTAAGAAACGTGACTGTACATTATCATATACCTGGGGCATAATTAGACAAGACACAGAACTGAATCTGTGGAACAACAAAGATCTTGAGTTTTCAGTAGTTTAAAAAAAAATACAGCACATACACACACACCACAAGAGGTGAGAACCTGGTGGTTTCCTACAAAATTTTCAAATCTAACACTTCTTTTTGTTTTGGTGAATCAGCAATTACTATCTTTATCCTAGCTATTCCCAAATGTCTATCTCCAGCTAATTCCTAAAATTCCCCTTTCATACAAAATGATGAGCTATAAAGGCTTTTCGTGAAATCTCAAAAAAGACAATCACACAGTATATCATCTTTTAAACTTTATTTTAAAAATCAGTATATCCATTAAAAAAAGTTTGGAAGGATCTGCCAAAATATTCACAATGATGGGGATCAAGAGCTCTGCACTCAAATACCCAACAACTTATTTCCACCTGGATGACCTGAGTATGTTCAAACTTGGGCTCACCTTACAGCCCACTCCAGCCCTACCTGCCACTGAAACCTGCTCTTTCTCCTTACACTCAGTAATTGGGTAAAGTGGAAAGCTGCCATTACCCATCCAGTCAGCCAAATCTGGCTACCTAGAAACCAGTTCAAAATTCTTAACTTAGGGCCAGGCACAGTGGCTCAAATCTGTAATCCCAGCACTCGGAGAGGCTGAGGCAGGAGGGTGGCTTGAGGCCAGGAGTTCCAGACCAGCCTGGGCAACACAGCAAGGCCCAGTCTGTAAAAAAAAAAAAAAAATTAAAAATCAGCTGGGGCTGGGCGCGGTGGCTCACTCCTGTAATCCCAGCACTTTGGGAGGCTGGGGCAGATGGATCATGAGGTCAGGAGATCGAGACCATCCTATCCTGGCCAACATGGTGAAACCCCATCTCTACTAAAAATACAGAAATTGGCTGGGCGTGGTGGCGCGTGCCTATAATCTCAGCTACTCGGGAGGCTAAGACAGGGGAATTGCTTGAACCAGGGAGTGGGAGGTTGCAGTGAGCCGAGATGGCACCACCCCACCCCAACCTGGTGACAAAGCAAGACTCCATCTCAAAATAATAATAATACTCAGCTGGGTGTGGTGGCACACACCTGTAGTGCTAGCTACTGAGGAGGCTGAAGTGGGAGGAGTGCTTGAGTCCAGGAATTTGAGGTTGCAGTGAGCTATGATTGTGCCACTGCACTCTAGCCCGGGCAAGAGAGTGAGACCCCATCTCAAAAAAAAATTATTAACTTGGCCTGTAGTATTCAGCTAAAACACCATTTCCTCAAGGGAGTAAGCCTTTTCAATCCATCTTGAGCAAGTAAGGCCCTGGGTTCTGCTGTCACTGTATTTGGCATGCTTCCTTCATGGCAACGCTATCACATTTAAGCCGAGTGTTATCTTTCCGTGCCTCGTGATTCTTACTCTAAAATAAGAAGGATAACAAAGTGGAGTTTATCACTGTTTAGTGCCTAGAGTGCTGTCGGGTACACAGGAAGTATCTAATAAAGATTACTATTACAGTTGTAGTAAAGGTTATATAAGAGCAAGTGACAAATAATATTTAAAAATTATATGAGCAAGTCAGGCCAGGCGTGGTGGCTCACGCCTGTAATCCCAGCACTTTGGGAGGTCAAGGTGGGCAGATCACAAGGTCAAGAGATTGAAACCATCCTGGCCAACATGGTGAAACCCCGTCTCTACTAAAAATACAAAAATTAGCCAGGCTTGGTGGCGCGTGTCTGTAAACTCAGCTACTCAGGAGGCTGAGGCGGGAGAATCGCTTGAACCCAGGAGTTGGAGGTTGCAGTGAGCCGGGATTGTGCTACTGCATTCCATCCTGGCAACAGAGTGAGACTCAGTCTCAAAAAAAAAAAAAAAAAATTACACAAGCAAGTCATTGTAACATCATAATTTACCTATAATCTGTTACTGTGAGATTAACTATCAAGATAGACTATGAAGTCTGTGTTGGTAGACTATATCTGTCTTGCTCACTTCTCTACCCCAGATTTCTTATAAAGCTAGGTAGAGTGGGTGTTTTTTTAACTGAATAAACGAATGAGTGAATTTTGGATTCTCCATGACCCTCTACTTTCATGCCCTCAGGTACCAAACTGCATGACTTTGGTCCCCTCAATAGCTCTCAGATCTGGTTCTCTCTATCCCACAGCTTTTCTCCAGGTCTCACCATCTCTTTCCAGTGATCTACTGCGTGAGTCTCCTGCCTGTAGTCTCTCCCCACCTCCATCCCTTGCTCGTCCTCCACATGGCTGCCAGACGGAATTTTAAAAACGTGAATGTGCTCCAGTCATTATCCTGCCAAAAGTCCTTCAATGAATACTCACTGCCTACAGCAGCAACCTCCAGAGCAGGGTGCGAACGTCCCCACGGGGTCTGCCACACTGCCCCCTGGGGTGTGAGGAGCAAACACTGAAGCCTCTATGTTTATTTTCTATTTATATAGCAAATACTACTGAAGCCTAACATTTAAAATTGGTACTCACATATGTATATAATATTCTGGGGATACAGGCTTAAAAATTATCCAAGTGAAAATCAGCTCTGTGGGTCGGGCGCGGTGGCTCACGCCTGTCATCCCAGCACTTTGGGAGGCCGAGGCGGGCGGATCACCTGAGGTCAGGAATTTGAGACCAGCCTGGCCAACATGGTGAAACCCCATCTCTACTAAAAATACAAAAATTAGCCGCGTAGTGGCAGGCCCCTGTAATCCCAGCTGCTCAGGAGGCTGACACAGGAGAATCACTTGAACCCAGGAGGCAGAGGTTGCAGTGAGCCGAGATCATGCCATTGCACTCCAGCCTGGGGGACAAGAATGAGACTTTGTCTCAAAAAAAAAAAAAAAAAAAGAAAATCAGTTCTGTGAAAAATATTTGGGCCAGGTGCAGTGGCTCATGCCTGTAATCCCAACATTTTGGGAGGCTGAGGCGGGAGGATCACATTAGCTCAGGAGTTCGAGACCAGCCTGGGCTTCGTAGTGAGATCTCGTCTCTACTAAAAAAATTTTAAAACTTAGCTGTGTGTGGTGGCATGCGCCTGTAGTCGCAGCTACTCAGAAGGCCGATGTAGTGGGAGCGCTAGAGTTCGGGAGTTCACAGTTACTGTGATTGTGCCACTGCACTCCAACCTGGGCAACAGAGTAAAACTCTCTTTCAAAAAAAAAAAAAAAAGGAAGAAAGAAAAAAAGCATTTCACTGAAAGGCATGTGGTCTCCAAAAAAACTGGCAACGATAAGCCTAGAGGACAGAGATCCTCCAGGATCCTTGCTCTCCCTCCTCAGCCTCATCTCCTGTGAGTCTCTGCTCACTGTGCACATCTTATGTCTCCTGTTTCTGTGCCTTGGTCCTGTGTTTAGAAGGGCCTTCTGTAGGGTCCAGCCCTACGGGGCCTTGTGGGTTTTCTCTTCGTGTGCGGAGACGAGAGATTGTAGAAAGACACGAAACTAAGAAGTAGTAGGAAAGACAGCTGGGCCCGGGGCACCACTACCACCAATGCACAGAGTCCAATAGTGGCCCCGAATGCCTGGACCCACTGCTATTTATTGTATACAAGGCAAGGAGGCAGGGTAAGGAGTGTGGGTCATCTCAAATGATTGACAAGGTCAAGCAAGTCACATGTCCACGTGACAGGGGGCCCTTCCCTTTGTGGTAGCCGAAGCAGAGAGGGAGGACAGCAGACGTCAGCATTTTTTCTTTGCACTTATCAGAAAGATCAAAGACTTTAACACTTTCACTAATTCTGCTACTGCTATCTTCTAAGAACTTAAAGGAGGAGCCAGGTGTACAGGTGGAACATGAAAGTGGACCAGGAGCATGACCACTGAAGCACAGCACCACAGGGAGATGCTGAAGCCTCCGGATGACTGTGGGCAGGCCTGGGGAATGTCAGGCCCCCCACGAGAGCTGGTGGAGCAGAGTGTTCTCTAACTCCCCCAGGGAAAGGGAGACTCCCTTTCACAGTCCGCTAAGTAACGGGTGCCTTCCCAGGCACTGGCACTACCGCAAGACCAAGGTGCCTTCAAGCAGCCCTTATCCAGGCATGACAGAGGTTCTCACTGTTGTCTTCTGGTCTCCTGACTCTGTATGGCCTGGTTTTTCCTTGGTCGTAATAATGAAACAAAGATTAATACTAAAGACTAATGATTGATAATATCCATATACAATCATCTCTATATCCTATTTCTATTATAACTCTACTTATTTAACTATTTTCTTTATTATATTGGAACAGGTTGTGCCTTCAGTCTCTTGCCTCGGCACCTGGGTTTCTTTCCGCCCACGCCTTCCTTCCCTCATCATCCTGGAAGAGATACCTAGCTGCTGGCTCTGTCTAGAATACTGTTCTGCCAGACTGCTGCAAGCTTGACTCCTTCCTGTCCATCAGGTCTCAGCTTAGAGGGAACCACCTCACAGAGAACTTCCCGTTAAGCCCCTTTATTTAAAGGACCCTCCGCAGCACGCTCTGTCACGGAACCTGCCTGGTATCACGGCGCATCACGCTCTGTCACGGAACCTGCCTGGTATCACGGCGCAGCACGCTCTGTCACGGAACCTGCCTGGTATCACGGCCACCATGTTTGATCATCTCTAGTGTATTTGTTGGTTTATTTCTTGTCTTTCTCCCTACACTAGACTCCATAAGACCAAGACCAGATTTGTCATGTTTACATTTCTCCCTAGTTTCTAAAAATAATACCTGACACTTAGCAGACATTTAATAAACGACTGCTACGTTTTACTAAATGAATACATGAATGAATCCCTCAAGCTCGGCAGACAGGCTACCTCCTCTCTGAAGTTGTGATTTTCCTTGGAAGAACTGGTCTTTGTTTCCTTACCGCACTGTCCCACTGTCACTGACGGCATTCGCCAGGGTCTCCCACCACTTGATCCTGCACACCTCAAGGGCATGGACTGGACCTTATCATCTCTGCACCCTCAGCACCTAGCACAGTGACTGACAACACATGACAGGCACCTACTGAACAACTGCTGACTGAAAAAATGGAAACGAAGCGGGACTCTCACTGCCCTTCTCCCAACTCTGCTACTTCCAGTTCTGGTCTACTTCTCACCCAAACACCCAAAAACCAATTTTGTAAGAAAATCCATCTCCACAGGAAAATCACCGGACAAAAAATAATAAAACGTGAAGTCTAAAAATCTGTATCTTGAGGCCGGGCGCAGTGGCTCACGCCTGTAATCCCAGCACTTTAGGGGGCCAAGGCAGGTGGATCACGAGGTCAGGAGTTTGAGACCAGCCTGGCCAACATGCTGAAACCCCGTCTCTACTAAAATCACAAAAATTAGCCAGGCGTGATGGTGGGTACCTATAGTGCCAGCTACTCAGGAGGCTGAGGCAGAAGAATCGCCTGAACCCAGGAGGCAGACGTTGCAGTGAGCCGAGACCGCGCCATTGCACTCCAGCCTGAACGACAACAGCAAAACTCCGTCTCAAAAAAACTAATAAATAGAAATAAAAATTTACATCTTGAAATAGAGGTGAAAGTGGCTTTATGATTCTGGGCTTATCCTGCCTGCCTCACCCCCACTTGTCCCTACTACATTATAAAAATCCTTTCCACTTTCAATTTACAGCAGAAAATTTGGGAGGACTCTCACAACCTAAGAGTACAATTATTAATAATATGTTCACTATACAATGAATTCCATTCCAACACAGTGTAGCTCACTGCCCCAGCTGGTGATGATGGAGTTTGATTTGAATTTAACTCTCCCTTGTGTATCAAGGGCCCGTAGATGATCTAGTGTAACACACGAAGCATAACACCCAAGATGTGCCAAAAGCTGCTGAAAGGAAGGAAACCTGAAACTCTACTTACTTGCTCGGTTGGGAACAGGGTATTGATATACTCAACAGCATTGAAATCTGCTCGATCTAGAGGGTCCTGGCTTGGAAACACCTATATAGAAAGAGAGGAGTATATATAAAAACATGTAGTATACCGTAAATATATATAATTTTAATTTGTCAATTAAAAGGAAAGGGCCGGGCACGGTGGCTCATGCCTGTAATCACAGCACTTTGGGAGGCCAAAGCAGATGGATCACCTGAGGTCAGGTCTCTACTAAAAATAAAAACTTGGCTGGGTGTGGTGTTGGCGCACACCTGTAATCCCAACTACTCAGGAGGCTGAGGCAGGAGAATTGCTTGAACCCGGGAGGCGGAGGTTACAGTGAGCCGAGATCACACCACTACACTCCAGTCTGGGCGAAAGAGCAAGACTCTGTCTCAAAATTAAATTAATTAATTAATTAATTAAAATAAGGCTGCGCGGATCGCTTGAGCTCAGGAGTTGGAGACTGGCCTGGGCAACATGGTGAAACCACATCTCTACAAAAAAAAATTAGCTGGGTGCCATGGCACATGCCTGTCATAGTCCCAGCTACGTGGGAGGCTGAGATGGGAGGATCACCAGAGCCCAGGAGGTTGAGGTTGCAGTGAGCCGAGATTCTATCACTGAACTCCAGCCTGGGCGACAGAGTGAGATCCTCTCTCAAAAACAGTCCACCTCTAAGACATACAGCTAACTCCCTAACAACCTGAAGAACACGCAACAAGGTGGATGATACAAGCAGCCAAATTATCCACTGGACACTGGGTCTCACCCAGCTTGATAGAGTTACAACTGTGGGAAGCAACTTCATCTCTGAAGAAGCCTTCCAAAGAAATATAGAGTCAAAAAATCAAAATATCTTCAAGACAACTGTTAGAAAAGCTGAAGCCTTCTACCACATCAAGAGGAGGTGGATGAGAAGAAAGTGAAGATGTTTTCTTTTTAAAATGTTCAGCATTGCTGTTTCCATAATGCACATATACACAGGTTATTTACACAGTCTCAATGATACGTGCTCACCAGAGGGAAAGTATAACCCACAGAGAGCAGGATACAAGAGATACAAACTATTTCCTCAAGTTGCTCTCAGTTTCTGTATTCCTCTCACGACTCCTAGGTTTTAGTGCTGTCCTAGGTTTTAAATTGTTTTCATGTAACAAGGCTCCTAACAAAAGCCAGCTGAAAAAAGAATGACTGGTTCCAATGATGGAGGAAAAAAACTAACAGCCCTAGACTTATCAGAGATGCATACGTGGTACTTCATGGGCAATTTTTTTTTTTTTTTTTGACACGGAGTCTCGCGCTGTCACCCAGGCTGGAGTGCAGTAGCGCGATCTTGGTTCACTACAAGCTCCACCTCCCAGGTTCATGCCATTCTCCTGTCTCAGCCTCTTGAGAAGGTGGGACTACAGGCGCTCGCCACCATACCCGGCTTATTTTTTGTGTTTTTAGTAGAGAAGGGGTTTCACCGTGTTGGCCAGGATGGTCTCAATCTCCTGAACTTGTGATCCACCCGCCTCGGCCTCCCAAAGTGCTGGGATTACAGGCGTGAGCCTCCACACCCGGCCTTCATGGGCAATTTAAAGAACTTCAGGGCAGAGTGATTTTCATGTCTAGAGTGACTTTCGCCTTTTTTTTTTTTTTTTTTTTCGAGATGGAGTCTCACTCTGTCGCTCAGGCTGGAAGGCAGTGGCACCATCTCAGCTCACTGCAACCTCTGCCTCCCGGGTTCAAGCAGTTCTTTGCCTCAACCTCCCGAGTAGCTGAGATTACGGGCACCTGCCACCATGCCCAGCTAAATTTTTGTATTTTTAGGAGAGACGGGGTTTCACCATGTTGGCCAGGCTGGTCTTGAACTCCTGACATCGTGATCCACCCGCCCTGGCCTCCCAAAGTGCTGGGATTACAGGTGTGAGCCACCGAGCCCAGCCAATTTTCACCTTATGCAATGACTCTGGGACTTCATCTTGGAGTAAAATGTGATTCCATTTTATCAACCCTTCCTGACTCCTCACACATCACTACTCTTTACAAGTATGCTACTACAGAATTTCATTCAGAGTGCTAAAGTAAGAAAAAATTCTGAATTCATCTTGACATAATGATGTCTGAATTCTGCTTGACATAAAGATGTCTGCTATACTATCACTCAAACTTATTCTTACAAAATAGGAAAAATGTCAGAATTCACCGCTATGTAATTCATCCATGTAATCAAAAACCACCTGTACCCCAAAAGCTGTTGAAACAAACAAAAGAAATAGCAAAAATGTGCTTTTCTGATACCTGTCAACCAAACAGTAACTGACTGCATTATTCTTTTCTTCCATGAGAGCCCACTAGTCCAAAGAGCAACAGAAATGTTATGTCTTTTTCTGGCAAAAGGAGGTAAGTGGTGGAGCCGTGTGGCCGGAACACTAAAAGCTTCCTGCCCAATGGTTTGGCGTTCTCAGGCTAGGACAAAGTTGGTTGTATAAGTAATCCAACCACTACTGGAAAAACACACATCGAAGCGTCAATGAATGCACCTGTAGTCCCAGCTACTCGGGAGGCTGAGGCAGGGTTATCACTTGAGCCCCAGGAGTTCGAGGCTGCAGTGAGCTACGATTATGCCACTGTACTCCAGCCTGGACAACAGAGCAAGACCCTATCTCAAAAAAAAAAAGTTTCCCAGGGGTCATTAAATAAGGCATAATGGAATTGTCCATTTCCTCAATCATAAATCCCTTTCTTAAATCATATAACTTCATGACAATTCCTTTAAGGGAGATTTTCTCCGTTTATCAGGAGCAATACCCTGCAGTATTAGAAATCACTATTTCTGACCGGGTGCAGTGGCTCACACCTGTAATCCCAGCACTTTGGGAGGCCGAGGCGGGCGGATAGCCTGAGGTCAGGAGTTCAAGACCAGCCTGGCCAACATGGTGAAACCCGGTCTCTACTAAAAATACAAAAATTAGCTAGGCATGGTAGCGGTTGCCTGTAGTCCCAGCTACTCAGGAGGCTGAGGCAGGAGAATCACTTGAACCTGGAAGCGGAGGTTGCAGTGAGCCGAGATGGCACCCCTACACTCCAACCTGGGCGAAAGAGCGAGACTCCGTCTCAGAAAACAAAAAAAAAGAAAAAAAGAAAAGAAAAAAATCACTATTTCTAATATCATTAGCCTTAAAAACTCAATAAACTTGCAAAGGCAAGAGTTCCTGCAGGCAGGGCCGCGCGTGGTGGCTCACGCCTGTAATCCCAGCACTTTGGGAGGCCAAGGCGGGCGGGTTACTTGAGCTCAGGAGTTCGAGACCATCCTGGCCAAAACGGTGAAACCCCCGTCTTTACCCCAAAAAAAAAAAAAAATTAGCCGGGTGTGGTGGCGTGCGCCTGTAATCACAGCTACTCAGGAGGCTGAGACAGGAGAATCGCTTGAACTCGGGAGGCGGAGGTCGCAGTGAGCCGAGATCGTGCCGTTGCACTCCAGCCCGGGCGACAGAGCGAGAATCCGTCTCAAAAAAAAAAAAAAAAAAAAGTTCCTGAAGGGAAAAGAGGCCCCTTGGGAGTATTCTCCAACCTCACCCAAACTATTCAACGGTAGGAATTCTCAACCTTTTAAGAATGGTAACGATGTCATTTTTCAACACTTTCTCTCTTCTCTGCCGTCCGCTTCAGAAATTAAAGTCATTCCCTTCCCCCAGTTCCAAGCCACTCACGAGGTGCCAGCTTGCAAAACCGGGGCGTTGGCACGAGTCTGGTAAATGCATGAAGCCCCCACAGTCCCCAGAATCTGAGGATGGCACCCAAGGCCTGCATTCTCCTAGCGTCGTCCTCTCTAAGCGCACAATTCCTTTCCCCAAAACCACCAGAACCCCCAGCCCTCGCCAAAGACAATCAAAGCCTAGAAAGGGTTCTCTTTCCTTTCCTTCTGATTCAGAAACCGCTTCTCACCCGCACCACCTCCCCACCTCCACTTTCCCTTCTGCCGCGAGCCCCCGGCCCTCCGTCCACCCGCCGCGGCCTCCCCAGCGCCCGGAGCTGCCGTCTCCCCTCCCGCACTCCCGTTTCCCCTCCTGAGGGGCGGAACGCTTACCTGCTCGATGGCCAGCTGCACCTCGGGCGTGAGCTGCAGCACGGCTTCCAGCTCCTCCACGAACTCCAGTTCCTCCTCCTCCATCATTCCGCCACCCGGCCCCCTGCCGACCCCCGCCGCGAGCCCAACTCAGGCCTCCAGCCGCCACCCAGGCCCCAGCACAGCAACTCCCTCGCGGCAGCGACCTGGTGAGCCCGGCTCCGTCAGCCGCTCTGTCAGCCGCTCCGGCACTTCCGGCAGGCCAGGGCACTTCCGGGACCGGGGAACTGTGGGATCACGGCGGACTGAGACTGGCGGCGTTCCTGTCACGTCAGGTGTCTCCCGGGCAACGCAGTATCCCGGCGGCCCCGCGTGGCCTCAGCGCGTCCTTAGGATGGGCGGGGCCTCTTCCCTCCCCAAGGCGCGCCCCGCACTGAGGACCCCGAGGTTGGGGTAGGGTCTGGCCTCCAGCAGGACGCCCGGATGAAAGTCAGCCCTGCGGCGTCGCCAACCGCAGCCCACAGCCTCCGCGGGCAGCGCAGCGGCGACCTCTCAGCTCCCGGGGCCCCCTCGGTCAGTGGCAGCGGGTGTCCCCGGCCACGGGGGCGACGTGATCCCAGCTGGCGAGTGGCGATGTCGCCAAGGACATTCGTAGGACGGGACAGTGCCCACTCGATAGAAATTCCCCGTGCGCCGGGCTCTGCGCAGAAGCTTTTCGAGGTGACTGCAGCCTCCTTATGGGGAGAAACGTCTTTTTTTTTTTTTTTTTTTTTTTTGAGACGGAGTCTTACTTGTTGCCCAGGCTGGAGTGCAACGGCGCGATCTCGGCTCACTGCAACCCCGCCTGCTGGGTTCAAGCGATTCTCCTGTCTCAGCCTCCCGAGTAGCTGGGATTACAGGCGCCCGCCACCACGCCCAGCTAATTTTTGTATTTTTAGTGGAGACGAGGTTTCACCATGTTGGCCAGGCTGGTCTCGAACTCTTGACCTCGTGATCCGCCCGCCTCGGCCTCCCAAAGTGCTGGGATGACAGGCGTGAGCTACTGCGCCCGGCCAGAAACGTTTTTTTAAAGCCAGATGACGCAGCGCCCTGGAGCTGGGGAGACGTTTACTGAGGTTGAATATCCGGGATCTAAGTCCTGAATAGTCCACCATTGATAAGTTGTGTGACTTGGAACAAATTACTACCCCGCGTCGATGTGGAGAGGATTAAACATTAACAGCGCGATGTAAATTCAAGCTGGTAATACAGGAAATAGTGAGGTGCCCAGCCCTTACCCCCACAAAGGAACAAATAAGCCAGATCACCGATCACCCTGTGAAACCACCTTTCCTGCAGACACTGAAAAGAAGGAGGGAATTGCAGCCCAAGGAGGACCCGCTCCACCAGGTGAACCGGGAAACTCCAGGAGGGAAACGCGTTGGCCCCACTGAACTTTTTTTTGTTGTTGTTATCAGAGTTGCTCAAAGTAAAAAATAGGAGCAGTATGATTTTTTCTTTTATTTTTAATTGACAAATAATAATTATATAAACAATGTAATTTCTAACAACAAAGGAATGCTAAAAAATATACATTAAAAAAAGAAAAAAAAGACAAAATAAAATATACATTGAACCTGGTGCAGTGGCACAGGCCTGCAGCCCCAGCTACTCAGGAGGCTGAGGCAGGGAATTATTGACTTTCTGAGATTGAATATCAGGGGTCTAGATCTCATCCCACCACTGAGGATCGCTTGAGCCCAGGAGTTTGAGGCTGCAGTGAGGAATGATTCCTTTGCGCCACTGCACTCCAGCCTGGGCCACAAAGGGAGACTCTGTCTCTTAAGTAAACATAGAATATTATTGATTCATAAAATCATGATTTTGAAAATTAATGACATGAAAAATATGCACAATATATTTCAGAAAGCAAAATGTATAATTTCATTTAAAAAATGCATAGCATGGTCCCAGCTTTGTGTGTATTCTGTGCCAATAAAGCTCACAGCAAGGAAATATTACTTTTCTGCACGTGATGAATGTACATCCTTTGTACATTTTCCCAAATGTCTACAATGAGCCTGTAGTTCTCTCATGCTCAGAAAATATGAATGCCTTTTTCTAAAAGGAAAAGGTAATTATAGCTACTTATTTTGGACTTTTTTTTTCCTTTAAAAAATTAAGATATTTACATACAGTAAAATTTACTCTTGCAATTTATGATGCAGTGAGTTTTGATAAATGTGTATAAACGACTGGGCATGGTGACTCACGCCTATAATCCCAGCACGTGGGGAGGCCGAGGCTGCCAGATCACTTGAGGTCAGGGGTTCGAGACCAGCCTGGCCAACATGGTAAAACCCGTCTCTATCTACTAAAAATACAAAACGTAGCTGGCCGTGGTGGTGCACAGAATCACTTGAACCCGAGAGGTGGAGGTTGCAGTGAGCCAAGATTGCACCATTGCACTCCAGCCTGGGTGACAGAGCAAG
Organism: Homo sapiens; assembly: GCF_000001405.40. NCBI lineage: Eukaryota > Metazoa > Chordata > Mammalia > Primates > Hominidae > Homo > Homo sapiens. The sequence goes on from NC_000017.11 coordinate 717,073, forward strand.
ACTCCATCTCAAAACAAACAAACAAATAATAAGAAAACAATAATAAAACAAAATAAATAAATGTATATAACCATGTAACTACTACCACAATCTAGTTATAGGACAATTTCATTCCCCCAAATTCCCTCTTGCCTCACCCCATCCACTGGCAACCACTGACTTGATTTCTGTCCCTATAGTTTTTGTTTTTGTTTTTGTTTTTTTGAGACGGAGTCTCGCTCTATCACCCAGGCTGGAGTGCAGTGGTGCAATCTCAGCTCACTGCAACCTCCGCCTCCCGGGTTCAAGCGATTCTCCTGCCTCAGCCTCCTGAGTAGCTGGGATGACAGGCACGTGCCACCACACCTGGCTAATTTTTGTATTTTTAGTAGAGACAGGGTTTCATCATGTTGCCCAGGATGGTCTCAAACTCCTGACCTCAGGTGATCTGCCAGCATCAGGCTCCCAAAGTGCTGGGGTTACAGGCATGAGCCACCACGCCTGGCCTGTCCCTATAGTTTTGATATTTCCAGAATATCATATAGATGGAATCATACAGTATGACACCTTTTCAGTCTGGCTTCTTTCATCTGTCATAAAGTATCTAAAATTCATCCATGTTGTTGCATGTATCTGTGGTTCATGTCTTCTTGCTGGTATTCCACTAGATGAATACACCACTATTTGTTTATCTAGTCCCTGGTTGAAGGACATATGGGTTTTTCCAGTTTTTGGCAATTATGAATAAAGCTGCTATAAACATTCATGTACAGATTTTTGTGTGAACATAAGTTTTCATGTCACTTGGGTAAATATGTAGATGTGGGATTGCTGTGTTATATGATATGTCTGTGTTTAACTTTCTAAGAAACTGGTAAACTGTTTTCCAAAGTGGCTGTATCACTTTCACATTGCTACCAGCAATGTATGAGAGTTCTGTTTGCTCAGAGAGCTTATTTTTAATGATGATAATAAGAAGGAAAATTTCCTAGCCCTTACTATATGACAGGTACCATTCGAAGCATGTTACATGCATTGTCTCTTTTAATTCACACAGCAATTCTGAGGTTGTTAGTTTTTATTACTATACCCATCTAACAGATAGGAGATGAAGATCTAGTTAAAACAAGCAACAAAATAAAAATTTGCCTAAGGCCGTATACCTAAGTCTTCCTGCCGTTCATTAAGCTAGTCAATACATTTATTGAACACCTGTTCCTGTTAGCGACAGGTACTCAAGCTAGGTGCCGGGAATTCAGCAGTGAACAAAATAGACCCCATGCTTGCCTCTACAGAGCTATTTCTATGTATGAAAAGGGCATTTGTACAAATAAACATATAATTGTGATAGATCCGATAAAAGAGAAGTAAAGCACATGTTGAGAGACTATATGGTTAGAGTTCTGATTGGATTAGGGGTCAGGAAAGCCTTTTCTTTCTTTTTCTTTTTCTTTTTTTCTTTTTTTTTTTTTTTTTTGAGACAGAGTTTCTCTCTTGTTGCCCAGGCTGGAGTGCAATGGCGCGACCTCGGCTCACCGCAACCTCCGCCTCCTGGATTCAAGTGATTCGCCTGCCTCAGCCTCCTGAGTAGCTGGGATTACAGGCATACGCCACCACACCCGGCTAATTTTTGTATTTTTAGTAGAGACGGGGTTTCTCCATGTTGGCCATGCTGGTCTTGAACTCCTGACCTCAGGTGATCCGCCTGCCTTGACCTCCCTAACTGCTGGGATTACGGGTGTGAGCCATCAAGCCCGGCCAGGAAAGGCTTTTCTGAGGAAGTGATTTTTAAGCTGAAGCCAAGGGTTGGAAGTGAAGATAACACATAGATAAAAGGAACAGAATGTGCAAAAGCCATGAGTATGAAAAGAGTCGGCCAGGGTGATGGAAGTTTGAAAGCCCAAGGGAGAGTGATACACGAGGAAGCTGGAGAAATGGGCACTGCCGGACGGTGAAGGATCTGGAAGGTCTTCTTGAAGGAATGGGAAGCCTCTGACGGACTGTAAGCAGAGGAGGGGCATGACCAGGTTTACCATGCCTGCCATCAGCCCTGGTCTCTCTGTTTTTTGTTTTTTGTTTTTTTCTTTGCCTCTGAGCTTCCCATATTGTTGTGGAGAATCATGAAACCAGGGTGACCATGTTCAGCACAAATTCCTGTTGCCTTATTTCCACTGATTCTCATTGTCCTTCTCAGCATCCATTGTCCGTTCTCAATGGCACTCTCCCGTGACCCAAAACCTTTGCCTCCTCTGGAGCTCCCAACTCCATGATACCCCTTCTCCCTCTTTGCAGATAAGCTACTAATAATATAAGTTTGAGTTTAGGAGAGTTATGCAGTACAAAGAAGTAAAGGAAGTTAAAAGAGCAGAGAGATAGGTTGACACACTGGGTTTTAAAAAACTTCTTTAAGTAATAACAGACTAGATTGATTCATTTATGTCAAACAAAAGAAGGAAATACCTTTGACAGGAGGTGGAAATCTAGAAAGAGATTGTATACTTCTGACAGAAATAAAATGTGGAAGTTTATGGATATGAGAAATTTGGGTATGAAAATAAGGAGCACGTGATATTTTCACAAATGAGCTGGGCTCAAAAAAAACAACTTCCAGGCTGGGCACGGTGGCTCACGCCTGTAATCCCAGCACTCTGGGAGGCCGAGGTGGGTGGATCACCTGAGGTGGGGAGTTCGAGACCAGCCTGACCAACATGGACAAACCCTGTCTCTACTAAAAATACAAAATTAGTCTGGCATGGTGGCGCATGCTGGCGCATGCCTGTAATCCCAACTACTCAGGAGGCTGAGGCAGGAGAATCACTTGAACCCGGGAGGTGGAGGTTGCAGTGAGCCAAGATTGTGTCACTGCACTACAGCTTTGGTGACAAAGCAAGTCTCCATCTCAATAAATAAATAAAATACATACATACATACATACATACATACATACATACATACAAAAAATTAGCTGGGTGTGGTGGTGGGCACCTGTAATCCCAGCTACTCAGGAGGCTGAGACAGGACAATCTCTTGAACCTGGGAGGCAGAGGTTGCAGTGAGCCAAGATCGTGCCATTGCACTCCAGCCTGGGTGACACAGAAAGATTCTGTCTCAAAAACAAACAAAAACCAACTTCCTATTTTGCTGTAGGATAGGGTATAGTGATGACAAAGTTTCACAGAAAACATTTTTCTACCTTGAAATTTCACCGTCTGAGGCAGAAATTCAGTCTCTAATACTTTAAAAGTAAAACAAAACGAAACCTTGGAGACTGTGGCCTTTAGTAGGCGATGGGGGAGGATGGATTGGAAGGGAGTATACAGTAGGCTGTGAGAGAGATGGGGGAGGAGGGATTGGAAGGGAGTATACAGTAGGATGTGAGGGAGTTGGGGGAGGATGGATTGGGAGGGAGTATACAGTAGGCTGTGTAGGAGATGGGGAGAGGAATTGGAAGGGAGTATACAGTAGGCTGTGAGGGAGGTGGGGAGGATGGATTGGGAGGGAGTATACAGTAGGCTGTGTAGGAGATGGGGAGGATGGATTGGAAGGGAGTATACAGTAGGCTGTGAGGGAGGTGGAGAGGATGGATTGGAAGGGAGTATACAGTCGGCTGTGAGGGAGTTGGGGGAGGATGGATTGGGAGTATACAGTAGGCTGCGTAGGAGATGGGGAGGATGGATTGGGAGTATACAGTCGGCTGTGAGGGAGTTGGGGGAGGATGGATTGAAAGGGAGTATGCAGTAGGCTGTGTAGGAGATGGGGAGGATGGATTGGAAGGGAGTATACAGCAGGCTGTGTAGGAGATGGGGAGGATGGATTGGAAGGGAGTATACAGCAGGCTGTGTAGGAGATGGGGAGGATGGATTGGAAGGGAGTATACAGTCGGCTGAGGGAGTTGGGGGAGGATGGATTGGAAGGGAGTATACAGTAGGCTGTGTAGGAGTTGGGGGAGCATGGATTGGAAGGGAGTATACAGTAGGCTGTGAGGGGGTTGTGTGGCACCCCTTGAGGAAACGTCAGACTAAGATGGAAACATAACACCAAACCTCACATGAGGAGTTTCCATAACGTTTCTCACCTTGCCAAAAAATGCTTTACGTATACTGTCTAGAAATAGGAATTTTAAAACAGCCTTTGTTAATGAAATTCAGTGAGATCTCTAAATGTCATGTGTCTGTGTCAATGTAGCGTTAATAACTCTGTGGAAAGGAATCTCCAATATCCGGTTATATTTGCAACCTTGTTGTCAGAGCGCAGAGGTAACTGCCCCGTCATATACGGAGTAGACACTGTGCAAAGTGTGTTCTTCCATAAGATCAAGACGGTATCTTTCCACATAAGCTTCCCTCTCTGTAAGGACCTTCTCCAAAATAGCTGAGCCTTCTGTAAAACTGCTTGTGAAAAAAGAATTGCAGGACGTCTCAATTACCTGGTCCATGCCCACTAAATGCCAGTCAAGCAGTACCTTTCCTCAACAGTGACAGAAGCAGCAATACCTCCCACACATCTCCAAAATGCCCCCTAGGCTTCCCAAGCAATCACCTTTAGATCCTATCGTCACTCTGGGTGGCACAAGGTCCCAGGCCAACTTGTAGTGGAGGAATAGGGTATAATTTCCCCTTGAAATCAGCTCAAAATGTTCTCTTGGTGCTTCTTTATGGACTGTTTCTAGTACGTGGCTTTTCACGATGACTGGTTCTTTCACTGTCCTTGATTCCTGAATTTCCTGAATCTCCTGGAGCCTGGCATTTGTTCTTGATTGACATTCGGATGGTTCTGAACCCTCCCTGTATCCTGGACACCAGTTTTGTTTAGGTTGGTACTCTGGTTCTCTGCATGCCCATTCTTGCTAAGCCGGTCATGATTTCCAGCTAGTTTCAGCAGCTCCCCTGTTCCCACGGCCATTTTCACATGATATCTCCCAAAGGCTTTTAAAATGAAAACCTTTTACACTGGCTACGTTGGGTTCATATTAAAGCAATCCTTTCCCTTACTCAAGGAAGTAATAATTATATAGGCCAAATTAATAAACCCTCTTGTGCAAGTTTTATATATGCCAACAACTATAAAAACACTTTTTACAAAACTGACATTAACTAGTACAATCATTATAATGTAGCTAACATTAATTCATCGTATCTAAAACCCTTAAGCATCTTCCATAACCTGTTTTTTCGACTCCACTTCTTCCTGCATTCCCAGAGCTGGATCTTCAGCTGCCACGCTTCTTCCTCGTGTACAACAGTAGTTCTTAATCTGTTTTGAGTCTGGACCCCTTGGAGGAGCTGAAGAACTCTACACAGATCCTTTCCCTGGAAAAATACACATTTGCTTAGCATTTTGCATGCAGTTTTAATGAAGGGTGTTTCATAGAATATACATACATATATATATATTTTATATATATATAATATATAATATATATATATATATATATTTTTTTTTTTTTGAGACAGGATCTTGCTCTGTCGCCCAGGCTGGAGTGCAGTGGCGGGATCTCGGCTCACTGCAAGTTCTGCCTCCCAGGTTCACGCCATTCTCCGGCCTCAGCCTCCCGAGTAGCTGGGATTACAGGCACCTGCCACCACGCCCGGCTAATTTTTTGTATTTTTAGTAGAGATGGGGTTTCACCGTGTCAGCCAGGATGGTCTCAATCTCCTGACCTTGTGATCTCCCGCCTCGGCCTCCCAAAGTGCTGGGATTACAGGCGTGAGCCACCGCGCCCTGCCGTTTCATGGATTATTTATTTATTTATTTATTTAGAGACGGAGTCTCGCTCTTTCGCCCAGGCTGGAGTGCAGTGGCGCGATCTCGGCTCACTGCAAGCCATGGAATATTTTTTAACCTTTTTTTTTTTTTAGCCCACGCTTCTTTCTGCTAAACCTAAAAATGTTGTGAACAAACCTCCCACATGCAGTATTTTGACAAGAGGTATGATCTTCATCACTGTAATTTGACAATCACTGATATGTAAATTACATTCTCCCTTCACCAGCCCAGAATATTTTGCTCAGCTAACCTTATTTTAGCTTTCCTTCAGGAAATCAGTAGAAAGTTTATATTTCCTGGGGCCAGGCGCAGTGGCTCATGCCTGTCATCCCAGCACTTTGGAAGGCTGAGGCGGGTGGATCACGAGGTCAGGAGTTCGAGACCATCCTGGCCAACATGGTGAAACCCCGAAAAAAAGAAAAAAAAATACAAAAATTAGTTGGGTGTGGTGGTGCATGCACCTGTAATCCCAGCTACTTGGGAGGCTGAAGCAGGAGAATCGCTTGAACCCGGGAGGCGGAGGTTGCAGTGAGCCGAGATCGTGCCACTGCACTCCAGCCTGGGCAACAGAGCAAGACTCCATCTCAAAAAAAAAAGAAGAAAGTTTATATTTCCTAAATATAATGTTGTTCAAGGCCAGGTGTGATGGCTTATTGGGAGGCCAAGGCGGCGAGAGGATCACTTGAACCCAGGAGTTCAAGACTAGCCTGGGAAACAGAGGGAAACCTCCTCTCTACCAAAAAAATAAAATAAAATAAACAGGTGTGGTGGACCGCATCTGTAGTCCTAGCTGCTTGGGAGGATCCCTTAAGCCCAGGAATTCTAGGCTGCAGCCACCCATGACCATGTCAGTGCACTCCAGCCTGGGTGACAAAGCAAGATCTTGTCTCTAAAATATATTTAAACTCCTGATTGGACACGGTGGCTCACGCCTGTAATCCCAGCACTTTGGGAGGCTGAGGCAGGTGGATCACCTGAGGTCAGGAGTTCGAGACCAGCCTGACCAACACGGTGAAACCCCATCTCTACTAAAAATACAAAAAATTAGCTGGGCGTGGTGGCTCACGCCTGTAATCCCAGCACCTTGGGAGGCCGAGGTGGGTGGATCACCTGAGGTCAGGAGTTTGAGACCAGCCTGACCAACCTGGTGAAACCCCGTCTCTACTAAAACTACAAAAAATTAGCTGGGTGTGGTGGCACATGTCTGTAATCCCAGCTACTCAGGAGGCTTGTCTATATGTTGGTCTGTTTCTCCTTTTTTTTTTTTTTTTTTTTTTTTTAAATACAGGGTCTCACTTAGCCCTCCAGGCTGGAGTGCAGTGGTACAATCATAGCTCACTTCAACCTTGACCTCCTGGGCTCCTAAGTAGCTGGGACTACAGGTGCACACCACCACGCCCGGCTATATTTCTTCTTTTAATGGCTACAGAGTATTCCATAGTTGGAACATACTGTAAATTACTTATTCTATTCCTTTTTTTATTTTTTGGGACAGAGTCTCACTCTGTCACCCAGGCTGGCGTGCAGTGGCGCTATCTCGGCTAACTGCAACCTCTGCCTCCCAGGTTCAAGCGATTCTCCTGTCTCAGCCTCCTGAGTAGCTGGGATTACAGGTGCGTGCCATCACACCTGGCTAATTTTTGTGTTTTTAGTAGAGTTGGGGTTTCGCCATGTTGGCCAGGCTGGTCTCGAACTCCTGACGTCAAGTGATCCACCCACCTCGGCCTCCCAAAGTGCTGGGATTACAGGTGTGAGCCACCACACCCAGCCCTATTTATTCTATTCCTAAATATTTGGGTTGTTTCTAATTTTTTGCTATTATAAACAATATTATATATATATATATATATATATATATATTTTTTTTTTTTTTTTTTTTTTTGAGACGGAGTCTCGTTCTGTTGCCCAGGCTGGAGTGCAGTGGCACACTCTCAGCTCACTGCAACCTCCACCTCTGGGTTCAAGCGATTCTCCTGCCTCAGCCTCCTGAGTAGCTGGGATTACAGGCGCACGGCACCACACCCAGCTAATTTTTGTATCCCAAAGTGCTAGGATTACAGGCGTAAGCCACTGCGCCTGGCCTAATCCTATATTACTTTAATTCTACCAGCACTGTAAAAAAGTGCTTACGTCCTTATATACTTAGGCACAGTGGATATTTTCCGTCTTTTCCATATTCACTGATAAAGTTGTGTGTGTGTGTGTTATTTTGAGAGACAGGGTCTCGCTCTGTCACCCAGGCTGGAGTGCAATGGCAGGATCATGGCTCACTGAAGCCTCCAACTCCTGGGCTCAAGGGATCCTCCCACCTCTGCTTCCCATGTAGCCAGGACTGCAGGCACATGCTACCGCACCTGGATAATTTTTAAATGTTTTTGTAGAGGGTCTTGTTACGCTGCCCAGGCTGGTCTCGAATTCCTGGTCTCAAGTGATCCTCGTGCCTCATCTCCGAAAGCACTGGGATTACAGGCATCGCGCTCGGCCTACTTATAAAGTTTTCAATGGGCCTTTTTATATTTCTTCTGTGTATTTCTAGTTTGTATCATTTGAAAAATTCTTTTGGATCATTTTTTTTTCTTTTTTCTTTTTTCTTTTTTTTTTTTTTGAGGCGGAGTCTCTCTCTGTCCGCCAGGCTGGAGTGCAGCGGCGCGATCTCGGCTCACTGCAAGCTCTGCCTCCCGGGTTCACACCATTCTCCTGCCTCAGCCTCCCGAGTAGCTGAGACGACAGGCGCCCGCCACCTCACCCAGCTAATTTTTTTGTATTTTTAGTAGAGACAGGGTTTCACCGTGTTAGCCAGGATGGTCTCGATCTCCTGACCTCGTGATCCACCCGCCTCGGCCTCCCAAAGTGCTGGCTAATCATTTCTGCGGTTTTCCTTGTCCTTGTTTTCCTCACAAGTGTGACATGCTTGCCACAGACAAAATGTAGTAGGTCTGAAGCCCAGCGTGGTGGCTCATGCCTGTAATCTCAGCATTTGAGGAGGCAAGGTGGGAGGCTCGCTTGAGGCCAGGAGTTTGAGACCAGCCCGGGCAACAGAGTGAGGAACACACCCCCACCTTTGTTCTTCTGACACAGTGTCTCCGTCTGCCACTCAGGCTGGAGTGCCTGGTACAGTCACAGCTCACTACAGGCTCAACCTGAGGTGATCTCGCACCTCAGCCTCCTAAGTGCCTGGGGCTACGGGCACGCAACATCACAACAAGTTTTTTTTTGTTTTTTTTTTTTTTTGTAGAGACGGGATTTCACCACGTTGCCCAGGCTGGTCTGGAACTCCTGGCCTCAAGCGATCCGCCCACCTTGGCCTCCCGAGGTGCTGGATTTACAGGAGTGAGCCACTGTGCCCAGCCAGCCCTTAAATATTTTTGAAACCTGAGTTTAGAAATGTTTGCTTTTAGATAGGTGTGACTATCTGCAAACAAGCCAGATTTTGCATTTTTAGCAAAAGAAACATGTATGTGAAAGTGCTTTGAAAAATACACAGCAATACATAAAAGCAGCACTCCATCATCGGTTCCTTGTGTAAATTACGGTTTTTACCGGCAGGAATCAGAGCGGAGTCTCCCGTGTAGCATGCAGCTGCGGTCGCTGTTTGTAGAAACCATGGGTTTGGGGTGTGGCTGTGCTTCCCGGCCTCACAGTTTGCTCTTGCAAAGAATCTTAAGATAAAACCAAGGAAGCTGCCGTCTGGAGTCGGGCTAAGGCCACCTAGGGAATCTGTAATCCAGCAGGTGCTTGTTGAGAAGTTTAACAGCAGGGGGCTATGCCTTGAGGATCCGGTATAAAGAACAAGAATCCCCTGCCTGTGCCGAGCACACAGTTTAACGTTTTGAAAATAGGATGTCATTTAATTCTCCCAGCCATCCTGGAGGGTAGAGGCAGGAACCGCCATTTTACTGGGGAAGGAGGCAAAGTGTTTTCTCCAGGTCACACAGCTTCCAGGTGGTGGAGCGTGGACTGGAACTCAGGTTCTCGGATCCCAACTCCAATGCGCTATGCAGTGGCTGCCTCCCAGGCAGACGGCCCCTACCGTCAGGGGCATGTGGTCTGCCAGAGAAACGCACACACACATATCAGCTCAGGGCTACACTGATCAGGCAAACAAAGTGAAGGAGAAATGAAGAGCAGGGTGATTGACTTCTTTCTGGCCACACTCAAAGTCCTAAGAGCAAGTCAGCTCATTCTCTGAACCGTATTTCTTCAGACGCAGTGTGGCTTTTGTTGCCAAAGAGAATGAAGTTCCGCAGAAGGCTGTTGTTCTCCTCTTTGGACACCTCCTTCCTTTCTTTCCGTGTCTGACCTTTTCCTCGTGTTCTGTTGTTGTGCCAATCTTTAGATCTTCATCTCTATGTCTATCTTCCTGTATCAAAGTGTATACTGGCGTTGTGTGTGTGTGTGTGTGTGTGTGTGTGTGTGTGTGTGTGTGTGTGTGTTGAGACAGGATCTCACTCTGTTACCCAGGCTGGAGTACAGTGCTGTGATGATGGCCCACTGCAGCCTCAACCTCCCGGGCTCAAGCAATCTTCCCACTTCAGCCTCCCGAGTAGCTGGGACTACAGCCACACGCCACCACACCCGGCTAATTAGTGTATTTTTTTGTTTTACCATGTCGCCCAGGCTGGTCTCTAACTCTCGGGCTCGAGTAATCCTCCGGCCTCAGCCTCCTAAAGTGCTGGGATAATAGGCAGGAGCCAACTCCGGGGCTCAAGTGATCCTCCCGCCTCGGCCTCCTAAAGTGCCGGGATAATAGGCAGGAGCCACCTCCTGGGCTCAAGTGATCCTCCCGCCTCGGCCTCCTAAAGTGCCGGGATAATAGGCAGGAGCCACCTCCTGGGCTCAAGTGATCCTCCCGCCTCGGCCTCCTAAAGTGCCGGGATAATAGGCAGGAGCCAACTCCGGGGCTCAAGTGATCCTCCCGCCTCGGCCTCCTAAAGTGCCGGGATAATAGGCAGGAGCCACCTCCTGGGCTCAAGTGATCCTCCCGCCTCGGCCTCCTAAAGTGCCGGGATAATAGGCAGGAGCCAACTCCGGGGCTCAAGTGATCCTCCCGCCTCGGCCTCCTAAAGTGCCGGGATAATAGGCAGGAGCCACCTCCTGGGCTCAAGTGATCCTCCCGCCTCGGCCTCCTAAAGTGCCGGGATAATAGGCAGGAGCCAACTCCGGGGCTCAAGTGATCCTCCCGCCTCGGCCTCCTAAAGTGCTGGGATAATAGGCAGGAGCCACCGTGCCCACGTGCCCACCCCCTGTGCCGTATCTTTCTATGTCTCTTCCTATTTCTTCATTCTCCTTTTGTCCTTCCTGCCCTCTCTCTGCTTCAATGGTCCCTACTGTGGAAATGAAGTATGGGTCTACACAAAGTAACTTTTACTTCAGAACAGATGTCCATTTTCTCTGTTAGGGTATTTATTTATTTATTTGAGACAGGTTCTTGCTCTGTCGCCCAGACTGCAGTACAGTGGCACAATCTGGGATCATTGCAACCTCTGTCTCCCAGGCTCAAGCAGTCCTCCCATCTCGGCCTCCTGCGTAACTGGGACTACAGTTACTGGGGTGGGTTCCACCCATCTGGCTTTTTTTTTTTTTTTTTTTGAGAGACAGGGTTTTGCCATGTTGTCCAGGCTGGTCTCCAACTCCTGGGCTCAAGTGATCCACCCACCTTGGACGGATCCCAAAGTGCTGGGATTACCGTTGTGAGCTGCTGTGCCCAGGCTGTGTTAGGATTTTTAAAGTGGATGAGCGGACAGAGACCCCTAAGTTCCCTTTTGGTTCGGGAGCTCACTACGTGGAGGCGCTTCACGTGTGATCTCACTTCTTTCTCATGTACATGATTTTCCCAGATAGGAGGAAAAGGTCCTCGATCAAGGGTAGTTGCCCACACATCACATATCTTAATGGCATTCACTTGAGAACTCACAAAGTATTTTACAAGTAAATACGGTATTTTCCATTTAAGGCTGAAGAAACCAGGAAACAGATATGGGGAGAGTCCCTGTGTCCTATTCCTTAATGATAGCGAGTGGGGTCCAGAGGAATGGGGGAGAGGAGATGGAAAGGCAGGCCCACATGCTTTCATGGCAGAAAAATCCCTCCGTAGCCCTTTAGAATGGGGAGCTTTATAAATTCTCTGTTCAAGGGGGCGACAGTCTACATTTGGTAAGTGAGTTTTACGTTGGCATTAAGTAGCCCAAATTTCACTCTGGAAACCCACACAAGCAGTGTAATGACAAACTGGTGAAACCCAGCCCCACAGCCTGGAGTAGTGGAAATTACCCTGGAACAGGTTCTAACCTGAGCCTTGTCCCTTCACAGGGTGGTGAGTCAGCGGCCCATCCTGCACTTCGCTTTCTTCATGTGTAACATGGAAATAACAGGTTTAGCCAACCTCACTGGGTTATTTTGAGACCCAGGTGAGCTACTACACGTGAAAGTGCTTTGAAAATTTGTAAAGTTACATATAAACAGAGAATACTGTTCATGGCAGCATCAGAGCCCATCAATTCACCATACAAATTTATGAGTAAATAATTAGGAACAGTATTCATCAGAAACTATATTGTGAAAGATTATTATTCCCTCCTTGCTTATCAGGCTTGAAGGCAGTATAGTCATCCGGCACATGGAACTAAAGGCAGAAAGTACTGAGTTTGAATCCCAGCTCGCCACCAGCAGTGTGACCTGGGGCGATTTTTAAATTGCTCTGGTCTGAGTCTCATTTTGCTGATACACACAAACACACACACACACACACACACACAGAGTGAGAATAACATCTGTTGTGAGGATTTAATGAGACAATGTAGACAAAACATCTGACATAGGACCTAGCAAACAGTAAGTACTCAACAGGTATGAGCTTTGGAAAGTATGAAACATGTATTGCACCCTCAGAATGTGCCAGCCTCACTTGGGGTACAAAATGAAAAGACACAGTCCTTGTTTCTAGGACCTAACAGTCTGGTGGAGAAACATACAAATGAGAAAACAACAGCCTCGTTACCCAAACCCAAAGGCAGACCTGGAAACCTTCTTAGAGAAGGAAACAGCTGATTCGAGACTTTTGAAGGATGAGGGGAAGTTTGTGTAAACCAGGCCCCGTGTTTTTCATTTGGCCTTACCATTTGCCGACAGGGGTTTGATCGCTTGAAAAGCTAAGGTTCATGTTTCTGCTTGTTAGCTTTATGGTGATTCAACATAAACAGTCTGGTGACTTCACTGAGCATGGTGTTGAAACTGATCTTACTTGCTATTTTCTTTTTTCTTTTTTTTTTTTTTATTTGAGACAGAGTCTTGCTCTGTTGCCCAGGATGGAGTGCAGTGGCACGATCTTGGCTCACTGCAACCTTCGCCTCCCGGGTTCATGCCATTCTCCTGCCTCAGCCTCCCGAGTAGCTGGGACTACAGGCGCCCGCCACCACGCCCGGCTAACTTTTTGTATTTTTAGTAGAGGCCGGGTTTCACCATGTTAGCCAGGATGGTTTCGATCTCCTGACCTCGTGATCCGCCCGCCTCGGCCTCCCAAAGTGCTGGGATGACAGGCATGAGCCACTGCGCCCGGCCTTTACTTGCTATTTTCTATACATGAAACATCGGTTGTTTTGTTTTCAACTCATAAAGATGCCTTACAGCTTCTTGTGTAGGGGAGACTGGTTCCCACCACTCAAAGGTGCCAGCATACTCACTGCCAAGCTGCTGCTCCCTTTAAGGAGGGAAGGCAGGGAGGACTTGTAACCACCTGTCACTCTCTGGAAACACTGGCGCTGGAGGTCACTGTGATAAATGCTTAGGAAAGAGACAGTGGACTGCACAGAGTCGTTTTCCTGGAGAGAATGGAGAGTTCACAGGTAGCTGGTTTTGTCCACAAGCGAATGTGAAAATAAAGAGAGCGTCGCATTTGTCAGATATCTTGGGACCAACCTGAAGTGGCTTTCTCCTTTCACTGAGTATGTCAGCAGTGAATTTGGGAGTTAGAGATGTTGCCCTAAGTGGACGAAGTTTGAGGCTTTTCTTGAGGCTGTCTGCCACCGTCCTGTTGGCTAAGTCCCTTTTCTTAACCACATATAGGAAGATGTTAGAGGCTACATTCATTCCAAAAGGTCACAGCCTAGTAACTGATACTACCACTGAAGGAAAACTATCTTTTAAACCTGAGAAACATCTTCAGACTCCATCATGAATGAATCCAAATTGAAAAAAACAAAAGCTGTGCTCACTCTACACCAGTTCCTACATCACTAACTGCCGTGTTAAAGTAATTTAACTGGCACCTAACAGAAATCATCTGCCACTTTGTAAAAGTCATAGACTCATAAGAATCTAGAGCTGGAAGACCGTTAAAGAGCTAGTGATCCAGCCTCCCTCTCATTTCACGGACCAGCAAATCGTGGCCCAGAGAGCCGAGCCCAGCTGTTCCGAAGTCCTCATACGGGATTTTGGTCAGCATTTTGCATGACGGTGATCTGAGGAGACCCGTCATACCTTTCATTTGTAGTAACATAAATGAACTGTATTTCCCACCCCCTACGTTTGTTAGCTGAGGAAGATACAGACCAAAGCAAAATAAAGCTGGTAGTTCCTAAAGGACAGAAGCCAATGATACTGAAATTCCTGTCTTCATCCATGTGATTGGTGCTTGGCACAAATGAAATGTATTCCAATTCATTCAAGTTTAGACGCCTGTCCCGATAACTGTTTTTTTGTTTGTTTGTTTGTTTGTTTTTTGAGACAGAGTCCTGCTCTGTGGCCCAGGCTGGAGTGCAGTGGCGTGATCTCGGCTCACTGCAACCTCTGCCTCCCAGGTTCAAGCGATTCTCCTGCCTCAGCCTCCAGAGTAGCTGGGACTACAGACAGGCACCACCACACCTGGCTAATTTTGTATTTTTAGTAGAGACGGGGTTTCACCGTGGTGGTCAGGCTGGTCTCGAACTCCTGACGTCAAGTGATCTGCCCGCCTCGGCCTCCCCAAGTGCTGGGGTTACAGGCGCGCCCGACCCCGATACTTTTAAATAACGACACGTTGTGAACAACACCACAGTCCCTACGCCTCTGGATGGTGTCTCCGGATAGATCCAAAGCCGAGAGGCAGTAAGAGCCTGCAGCCTCCACAGTCCGCCTCCTGGTGCAGGTGGAGAGGGGCTGCTGGAGGCCCCCGGACCTCACGCTTCCTGAGGGCCACCCCGGAGCGGCTGCAGCCGCTGGCGGCACCGGGAAAAGCATCTCGGCCGTGCGGGGAGAGGCCACATCCTGAGGCCTCCCACCGAGAAGCACCAGGGCTTGGTGGACGGGGCCCGCGAACCCAGGGCCACACGCCGCCTCCCTCCTTCCTTCCCCGCGGGCCTCGCCCCACCCCGGAGGGGGTTCCTACCTGGCTTCCTCGGCCCCGCGCCCACCCCGCCCCTTCGCCCGGGGCCGGCGAGAAGAGCAGGTCGGGGAGGGGCGCGTCCGCTGACGGAACAGAAGCCGGGAGCCGCGGCCCTTCCCGCCTCCGCCTGGGCCCCGCGGCCGCTCGGGAGGGAGCGGCGGACTCGGAACGCGCGCGCGCCGCGGCCCCGGCCACAGCCGCCGCCTCGGTCCCCGCCTCCGCCCCCGCCCACCCGCCCGCCGGGGACGCCGGGGAACCCTCCGGGCCCAGGGACCGCGAGAGACCCCGCCCCGCCCTATCGCAGCCGCCGGGCCTGGTCACGCGCAGAGCCGCGCCGCGGGATCGGGGCCAGCGCCGGGCGGAGGCGGGACGGGGACGGGGGCGGAGGGTTGAAATCGCGCGGCCGGGCCGGGGCGCGCCGAGCCGAACCCAGCCACGCGGCGCCAGCGAGGCGGCCGGACCCGCAGCCCCGATGCTGCTGACGCTGGCCGGGGGCGCGCTCTTCTTCCCGGGGCTCTTCGCGCTCTGCACCTGGGCGCTGCGCCGCTCCCAGCCCGGATGGAGCCGCACCGACTGCGTGATGATCAGCACCAGGTACCGGCGCCGCCGAGACGCCCCCCGAGGCCCGGGGCGCTGCCCACCGCACCCCACCCGGCCGCGGGGCCCAGGGCGGAAAAGGGGGGCGGCAGGAAGCCCGGGGGCTGCTCCCTCCGCGTCCCGGCGGCCCGAGTTTCCGAAGCCCCTCCGCGTCCTCCCCTGGCGGGAGCGGGGCCGGGGCGGGCGGGAATGGCCGATGAGCCTCCGGAGCCCGCTCCCCACATCTGCCTGCGGCTGGGGAGAGTCAGGCCGAAGGGCCGGGCCGGGCTCCCTGCGGTCCTCGGACCGGACTGAGCGCGCGCGCTGTTCTCTCCGCCCGCGCTAGGCTGGTTTCCTCGGTGCACGCCGTGCTGGCCACCGGCTCGGGGATCGTCATCATTCGCTCCTGCGACGACGTGATCACCGGCAGGTAAGAGCCCGGGCCGGGGCCTTGTTGCAAATGTCACATTTCAGTAGCTCGCAGGCTCTGGCTCTCGCAGCACACGCGCTCAGAAAGCTGACTAATGGGAAAAGCTGGCACCACAATGGGCTCCTTCTTCCTCTCCGGAGTCTTCGGGCACCCCCAGCTTAGGAGAAAGTCCACGGAAATGAGGGAGGACGACAGAGTCGGAGTCTGATTTCAGGTGGTGTGAGCCAGGGATCCAGGTCCTTCATGGAAGAGATAAGCGTGGAAGCATTTACGACTGGGAGTGTGGCTTGATTCTTGCAGTTGGCTTCACTGGGTTCTCACTCTGGAGCATCACTGGCTAACAGACGTCCAGTGTGGTTAGCAGAGCCCCCTCCATGGAAAGGAACCAACCCACCACCCCCTTCCACGCAAACGCCGCTCTTGCTTTTCCTGCAGATTTGCTAAAGGTGATTGAGAGGTTCCCAGCGCTTAGAACACGGACTTGTACGTCTATCAGAGGTCAGTCCAGAGGCAGGTCAGGAAATGTGCACCTATCTGCAGTTCCAGTGAAACAAATCATAAATTAAGACCAGAATAGTCGACTTTGTACAGTAGTTAGACCTGGACAATGGTGGTGCTTTTATTATTTCAAGCCTTTTTTTTCCCCACCGGTCTTGCTGGAATCACACTCACTTTCTCCCAAGTTGAAGGACCACAGTCGGATGTGCAGGAAGTTGAACGGCCTTTCCAGGCCCTGCTCTCCTGTGGGCTCTGCCAAGTCCTGCTTCTCACCTGCTGAGACTGAACTGCGAGGGGCCTGAGCAAGCTGTCCGTCTCACTCTAGCCTGCGGTCTTACCTGGGATCAATCCTGCTGTCATGATTTTTGTGCTTTTCTTCTGCCTTTTTAAAAACAAAACTGGCTATTGGCGATGAATAAGTAGATGCTACGATAGATCAAGTGACATCGATTGTAGACACCAAAGGTTAATATTGGTGTGGCTGGGTACAATTTTTCTTCTTCTTCTTCTTCTTTTTTTTTTAAAGACAGGGTCTCACTATGTTGCCCAGGCTGGTCTTGAACTCCTGGGCTCAAGTCATTTTTCTGCCTCACCCTCACAAAGTGCTGGGATTACAGGCATGAGCCACCACACCCAGCAAATTTTTTACTTTTTTTTTTTCCTGTCGAGACCTCAGGCTGAGGTGCAGTGGCATAATGACAGCTGACTGTAGTCTTGAACTCCAGGGTTCAAGCCACCCGTCTTCCTTAGCCTCCCAAGCTTGGACTACAGGCACACACTACTACACCTGGCTAACTTTTTTTTGTTGTTGTTGGTAGAGACAGGGGTCTCCCTGCGTTGCCCAGGCTGGTCTTGAACTCCTGGGCTCCAACGATCCTCCTGCCTGGGCCTCCCAAAGTGTTGGGATTATAGGCGTGAGCCACTGCACCCAGCCAAAAAAGGCCTTTCAGGGTTCATATACTATATACTGAATATTTTTCTATTATATGCCTTCTCATTTTATGCCTTCACATAGAATGCGATTAGATAGAAGGAGTTAAAAATCCCCCCAAATTATAGGCAGAAGGTGGTATGGGGCCAAGGATTTAGTCAGATTCTTAAAGGATTCAGACACTAAAATGACAAAGTCACAGCTCCAGGTGGTTTTCTCAATTTAAGTACTTAATTCAGATAGTACGTTGTTGTTTTAGACAGGGTCTGGCTCTGTCACCCACGCTGGTCTGAACTCCTGGGCTCAAGCCATTCTCCCACTCAGGCCTCCCAAAGTGCAGGGATCATAGGTGTGAGCCACCGTGCCCAGCCTGTATAGTACCTTTTAACATTTAAAAGGACTCCCCCTCCCCGCCGCCTTTCTTTTTATTGAGATGGAGTCTCACTCTGTCACTCAGACTGGAGTGCAGTGGTGAGGTCTCGGCTCACTGCAACCTCCACCTCCCAGGTTCAAGTGATTCTCCTGCCTCAGCCTCCTGAGTAGCTGAGGTTACAGGCATGTGTCACCACGTCTGGCTAATTTTTGTATATTTAGTAAAGCCATGTTGGCCAGGCTGGTCTTGAACTCCTGACCTCAGGTGATCCATCCGCCTCGGCCTCCCAAAATGCTGGGATTACAGGCATGAGCCACCGTGCCCGGCCGACTTTCCCACATTTAATTATTTAATCTTCACTGCAGTTTTGACAGGTAAGACAGACAAGGATTATCATCTTCATTTTACAAAGAAAGTTAAATCACAGGCTAGTGATAGTGAAGATTATAATCCAGATCTCTTGCTAATAAATCTTCAGAGGATTCTACTCATGAGTCACAATTTCAGATCTCTTCTCTGAATTGGTGAAAACATGAAAACCCTAGGTTCCCTTCAAGGGGAGAGGCCAGTTATATTTCAGCTAAATTTTAGTAGCTGTTTATAGGTATTTTACTTGAAATTGCTTGAAGAAAGCACCTGAGACCATAGATGGGCATTGGAATAAGTATGGCATCTTTTTGGCCAAAAGAAACCTAGCTAGGTCGGGTGCGGTGGCTCCTGCCTGTAATCCCAACACTTTGGGAGGCCGAGGTGGGCGGATCACTTGAGGTCAGGAGCTTGAGACCAGTCTGGCCAACATGGTGAAACCCCCATCGCTACTTAAAAAGAAAAAAAAAAAGAAAATAGCCGGACGTGGCGGCAGGTACCTGTAATCCCAGCTACTCGGGAGGCTGCGGCAGGAGAATCGTTTGAACCCACGAGTCAGAGGTTGCAGTGAGCTGAGATCGCGCCACTACATCCAGCCTGGGCGACAGAGCAAGATTTTGTCTCAAAAACCAAAACCAAAAAAAAAAAAAAAAAAAAGGAACCTGGCTAATGAATTCACCTACAAGTGTGTTATACTTGCCATTACTTGCTTGCCTTATTTGTTTATTCATTATTTACGCCGTGGTAAGTGTGGAGTTGCTCAAGAGCACAAATTCAGATGGCGCCTCCGTAGACTGTATTTCCAGTGTTGCAGTTCAGCGGACTGGCTGCGTCCGAAATCAGAGACAAAGTTAATACAGATTTCAGGGCCCTCGGCTTACAATTTAGAATCTCTGGGGACTGGAGCGCTTAACAAGCACTGCAGGTGATTCTGATGTTCAGGTAGTTTGAGAACCATAAAACGAAATGGTTTTCTACCTAATACGTGGATGCGCATCAAACGTTTGCTGACCATGTGAATGGAATCCTCAAATAGTACATGATTTCAATTTAGATGTTTCTTCACAGAAAACATCTGTGGAATGCTTATCACTGGGAACCACATTGTATGAATTGTAGAGGCTTCCCTTCTAATCTGCTCTAGGACGGTGATCAACTATGATTTCCATTCAGCAAATACTGATTCAGCCCCTTTGGATAAGTAAATGGGAAAACTGTCTTTTGACCTAGCCTCTCTCCTGGTACCTAACCGCTGTAATGTGGCCCTTGAGCTCCAGGCTCATTTCCAGACCTGCTTTTTTTTGTTGTGTTTTGTGTGTTTTTTGAGACGGAGTCTCACTCTTTTGCCCAGGCTGGAGTGCAGTGGCGCGATCTCGGCTCACTGCAACCTCTGCCTCCCAGATTCAATCGATTCTCCTGCCTCAGCCTCCCAAGTAGCTGGGAGTACAGGTGCACACCACCATGCCCAGCTAATTTTTGTATTTTTAGTAGAAACGGGGTTTCACAATGTTGATAAGGCGAGTATCGAACTGCTGACCTTGTGATTCACCTGCCTTGGCCTCCCAAAGTGCTGGGATTACAGGTGTGAGCCACCACGCCCAGCCTCCAGACCTGTTTTTCTTAATGGAATTGAGATTATCTCTAGAATTGCTTTTTGGGTTTTTTTGTTTTTGTTTTTTTTAGATGGAATCTCACTCTGTCGCCCAGGCTGGAGTGCAGTGGCGCAATATCGGCTCACTGCAACCTCCGCCTCCCGGGTTCAAGTGATTCTCCTGCCTCAGCCTCCCAAGTAGCTGGGACTACAGGTGTGCGCCACCACATCTGACTAATTTTTGTATTTTTAGTAGAGACGGGGTTTCGCCATGTTGGCCAGGCTGATCTTGAACTCCTGACCTCAAGTGATCCACCCGCCTCAGCCTCCCAAAGTGCTGAGATTACAGGTGTGAGCCACCGAACCCGGCCAGCTCTAGAATTGTAAAGAAAATGGCCAGGGTTGCCTCCCAGAAACTCCATAGAGTGGGGTTGCATGCAGACAAGAGAAAACTCACAGGTTCCAGGATTTAAGTTAGTAAAACCCCCAACTGTTGAGCAGCTAAGGAGTTAAACTAGAAATGTTGGATTTGTGATTTGGGACACTTTCCAAACCAGCTTCTTGGTGGGGCCGTTGAATCATTTGTATATCTATCTATATCAAAATCAGTTTTATCACAAAATGCCAGAACATCTACTACAAATTAGTAGCTAAGTCAGGCAAGTAGTGACAGCAAGCTGCTTCAACAGGCAGGGCTGAGTGAATGCCTGCTTTTTGCCTTTGACACTCACGAATTGGCCCTGAAACTGAGAGCAAGTGGTCTACTCTCCCTGTTTATCAGTTTCAACATCTTTATTGTAAAGTATTTGGAATAATAATAGCTGATCAAGCACCAAGCTTGGCTGTGAGCCTTCATAATGGATATCCACAATGATTTCACGGGCCATTCATATGCTTTCTTTCAGGCACTGGCTTGCCCGGGAATATGTGTGGTTTCTGATTCCATACATGATCTATGACTCGTACGCCATGTACCTCTGTGAATGGTGCCGAACCAGAGACCAGAACCGTGCGCCCTCCCTCACTCTTCGAAACTTCCTAAGTCGAAACCGCCTCATGATCACACATCATGCGGTCATTCTCTTTGTCCTTGTGCCAGTCGCACAGGTATGGCCTTCCAGGACAGCAGACCAGCAGCTGGGTTGAGCTGGGTGTCTTTTTTTTTTTTTTTTTCTGAGACAGTCTCACTCTGCCGCCCCAGCTGGAGTGCAGTGGTGTGATCTCAGCTCACTGCAACCTCCGCCTCCCGGGTTCAAGCGATTCTCCTGCCTCAGCCTCCTGAGTAGCTGGGATTGCAGGTGCCCACCACCACGCCCGGCTAATGTTTGTATTTTTAGTAGAGATGGGGTTTTGCCATGTTGGCCAGGCTGATTTCAAACTCCTGAACTCAAGTGATCCGCCCGCCTCGGCCTCCCAAAGTTCTGGGATTACAGGCATGAGCCACTGCGCCCGGCCTGAGCTGGATGTCTTGACCGTTACTTAGGAGTCGGGATTGCCCCTCTTTTCTTTGCCACTCATAGGCACCCATTCTCCTTGTGCCTGCTGCTTCAGAGCCACCTCCCCCAGGTGAATAGTGGAGGAACACCATTACACATGAAACGTTCATGATCCTCCTTACCAACATCAACATCAACATACTTTTTCTTTTTTGAGACAGGGTTTCACTCTGTCACCCCGGGTGGAGTGCAGTTGTTGGATCACAGCTCACTGTAGCCTCAAACTACTGGCCTCAAGTGATCCTCCTGCCTCTGCTTCCCAGGAAGCTGGGAACACAGGCACACACTACAACGTCCAGCTAATTCCTGTAATTTTTGTAGAGTTTCTCCATGTTGCCCAGGCTGGTCTCAAACTCTTGGACTCAAGTGATCCTCCTGCCTAGGCCTCCCAAAGTGCTGGGATTACAGGCGCGAGCCACTGCACCCGGCCCCAACATTCTTTTTAACAAACCCCCAGCGCTCTGTGATTCCCTAGCGTTTGTCAGAGGTTCTATCCTTAGTTCAATACAAGATAAAAACAATATAAAATACAAATATAATACAAAGCAACATAACAGTGCCAGAGAGCACTGTGTGGATTATTCTTAGGTCACAAAACACAGATTCTCAAAGCAAATAGCCTCCTACTTTCTCCCCAGATCCATTTCCCCATAAAAGCCCACCCAACAAAGAAAAGCAATGGGAAAGCTGAGGGGAAATTCCTCACTCTTGAGTGCCTGGCCAGGGGAAGGCATGCGTTTTTTTTTTTAATTATTCATTTATTTAGTTATTCATTTTTTTGAGATGGCGTTTTGCTCTTGTTGCCCAGGCTGGAGTGCAATGGCTCACTGCAACCTCTGCCTCCCGGGTTCAAGTGATTCTCCTGCCTCAGCCTTCCAAGCAGCTGGGTTTACAGATGCACGCCACCATGCCTGGCTAATTTTTATATTTTTATTAGAGACGGGGTTTCACCATATTGGTCAGGCTGATTTCAAACTCCTGACCTCAGGTGATCCACCTGCCTCAGCCTCCCAAAGTGCTGGGATTACAGGCGTGAGCCACTGCTCTTGGCCGGCATGTAGTTTTATTTTATTTTTTAAATAAAGAGATGGGGGTCTCCTTATGAGGCCCAGGCTGATCTTGAACTCCTGGGCTCAAGGGATCCTCCCGTCTCAGCCTCCCAAAGTGCTGGGATTATAGGCGTGAGCCACCGCGCCCTGCCAGGCATGTGATTTAAAAGTTCATAGCTTGCTAAATATTAGAAGCTATTAGTCTTATGCTGTAGATGAAGAAACTGGGGCTCTAAGAGTATTCTTATATCTCTCAGTGGTACTAAGTGGCAGAGCTGATATTTTACCATGCTTACTGCTTTCTTGAAAAAAGAGGCCGGGCGAGGTGGCTCATGCCTGTAATCCCAGTCAGAAGTTCGAGACCAGCCTGGCCAACATGGTGAAACCCCATCTCTACTAAAAATACAAAAATTAGCCGGGTGTGATGCTGTACATCTGTAGTTCCAGGTACTCAGGAGCCTGAGGCAGGAGAGTCATTTGAACCCGGGAGGCAGAGGTTGCAGTGAGCTGAGATCACGCCATTGCTCTCCAGCCTGGGCAACAAGAACAAAACTCCGTCTCAAAAAATAAAAATAAAATAAATAAATAAGGGTAACGTGCATTAAATTCTTTAAGAAGTGTCTGGGACCTACCATCTAGGAACCAGAACATCTAGGGTGCTTTGAGACCCTAACATCTAGCACAGGGCCTGGCACATTTTGTTGAACCAAACAGGCTGAGTGTCTTGGCATGACTAAGTTCGATACACAAAAGTAGGCTTGCAGCCTTCCTTCCGGCTGTCATCAAAATTCAGAGCTTGGTGTGGGACGCCGTCATCCTGTCTGAATTTGCCTCTGGATCCTAGGGCTTGGACCATCAAAGTGCTGTTGCCACGGAAGCAGCGGTACAGTAGTCTGCGCTTGCCTATTGAGCGTCCTTTGCCCGTCACAGTTACCCTTTTCAGTAGCCCTCGTTGGAATTTTCCTTCTGGTGGTTTCTTAACCTCCACTTACTTCCCCTTTTCGTTTCGTCATCCGCAGAGGCTCCGGGGAGACCTTGGGGACTTCTTTGTCGGCTGCATCTTCACGGCAGAACTGAGCACTCCGTTTGTGTCGCTGGGCAGGGTTCTGATTCAGGCATGTATGAATGAAATGACAGAGAGTGTGAGGGTTCTGATTCAGGCATGTATGAATGAAATGACAGAGAGAGTGAGGGTTCTGATTCAGGCATGTATGAATGAATGGCAGAGAGAGTGAAGGTTCTGATTCAGGCATGTATGAATGAATGGCAGAGAGAGTGAGGGTTCTGATTCAGGCATGCATGAATGAAATGGCAGAAAGAGTGTGGGAGGGAGTGGATTCTGCTTTTCCTTCGGAGATGGTGGGTGTGGAGAAATCCCTAGTGCCAGGAGAGTGGGATGAGAGATCCTTCAACAGCCTTAAAGGTCAGCTGGTCATCTCAGCCAGTGGGGGTGAAATTGTAGGTTTGATCTAAGTTTGATAGTTTGATACAGCTCATTCTATTTTTTCCCTGGTTACACACATACTTTAATCCACGGTTCCTGTACTCCTGTCAGCTGGGTGGCCTGGGTCAAATTCAAAATCACTATTGGAGAAAATGAGGTTATTTGCACATCTCAATATGATAGTGTTCAAGAATGTCTTCTCCAAGTGTTAGAAAACTAGACAAACGTCTGGGCGCCAGGGAATCTGACAGCCAAGGTCTTGATGAGCACCTGCACCTGTGTGGCATTTACTGTGGTGGGACTTGGGCCCGTCGCTCCCTGATGCCCAGCTTCTTGGTGACCTTACCTTTTTCCTTCCTCTTCTATTGCAGCTAAAGCAGCAGCACACCCTTCTGTACAAGGTGAATGGAATCCTCACGCTGGCCACCTTCCTTTCCTGCCGGATCCTTCTCTTCCCCTTCATGTACTGGTCCTATGGCCGCCAGCAGGGACTAAGCCTGCTCCAAGTACCCTTCAGCATCCCATTCTACTGCAACGTGGCCAATGCCTTCCTCGTAGCTCCTCAGATCTACTGGTTCTGTCTGCTGTGCAGGAAGGCAGTCCGGCTCTTTGACACTCCCCAAGCCAAAAAGGATGGCTAAATGCTCCTGGGAGTCAGGCGCAGCCTCACACCAGCTGCCTCCTCCACTCAGCATTCCATGGACCAAATTGTGCCCTGGGTAGCCTCAGACTTTGGGTATTGATAAGCCGATGGATTTGAGTTTTTCTAAAGAATATTCATATTACCTCCTTCTTCTAACTTGCCCTATTTGCAAAAGCACTTTTGTAGTAACAACTATTGGGTCCTGTCAGACCTCCACGGACAGCAAAGTGGTTTTAATGCAAGCCCAAGGATCCTTCTTAAGGTCTTATCTCAAGAGCTCTGGGAGGTGGAAGCATGGGGTGGGATCGGTGGACCAGGGTGGTAAGTGTCTGCACATCTGCCTGTCCCTGTATCAGCGGCTACCCACCTTCCAAACCACTCAGGACAGTACCCGTGGCACTGGGCCCGCAGAAGCAAGGGATGACTTGGTTCTTGGAAGTAATGTCGTCTTGTGACATTGGCCTGGGACAATCATTGTGGGTAGGTAGTTATTGATCGTTTACTAGATAACCCATTGGTTCTTTGCCTCATCCTCTCATCCATGGGTCAGAGTTGAATTCTTATGTCTATAGACTTCCAATCAGAAGTCTCACTGGTGGGGCTGGGGGTGGGGGCAGGCAGGAGGCATGGATGGGAACCTGAGTAGGTAGTGTGGCCAAGAGATCAGCACAACCTTTGCAGGCTGACTTGCTAAGTCTGACAGTGACAAACTTGTGAGCTTACTGCAGTCAGTCACAGAGGCTGTTCTTTTTCACACACCCCTTCATGCCCGGCTTTCCCCATATCCACATGCAGAGGGCGAGCTCATAAAACTACAGGGAAGCGTGAAATGATGGCTTTGGTAGCTGTTTACTGGGTAACCCCACTGTGACACTGTCCTTTTCATGTGATGTGGAAACCTACTTCTGTCCTCCAAACCATGAAATGTGTCATCTAGACTGCAGAGTACTTGAGTGCTTTGCCTCCCGATATGCCAGAGCTTGTGGTCCAAAGCCCATTCCTGTGTGTCCGTCCTGCCATTTAGCCACAGAAGGCTGCGGAGTGAGGCGGCAGCTAGCCTGGCCAGTGGCTGTCCCGTGGACCGACACCTGCGCCCCCTTCTGCAAGCAGGATTTTCTGGTGCCAACACTCATTCATCATTCCCGATCAACTAGGATGAATTTAAGACTGTGCTACCATGTGTTCTCAAGTGGTAGTTTAAAAAGTGGATTTTTAAAGTGCCTTTCAATTGTCTGTGAACGTCTAAAGGACTGATTTGTCTCATTTTGACTGTTGAGTCTTTAATGGGTGCCATTTAAAAAACAAAATGCTATTTTTTAATTGTCTTTTTTTTTTAACTATCAGTGTATCTTTAAAAGTCACCCTTACGGTGATTAAATTGCACTAACATTCCCAACTTATTCTCATTTGTGAAATACATCAATATCAGTGTCCTGTAAGAATCATCCTGTGACCTAGCTCGACTGGCTGCCGTGTGCTGTGGCTCAAGGTCTGTGTCCATGTAACTAGCAGAGGGGTGTGTGTGTGAATGCTTTCAGCCTCCAGAAAGGTCTAGCTCACACCTCACTCAAACCTATTTTTGTGGTTCATGGTCTCAGTAATACATTGAAGGTTCCCAGAGTTCAAGCGTAGTGGTCACACGTAACTTGAGACCGTTTCTTCTCTTCATAAGTGAATCTTACTAGGAATTGGGAGAGTGGAAGACCGATTATTGGTCAGGGAGCCAAGCCTACTTTACCTGAGGAGAACCTGAGTAATGCCCCATTGTGAAGGAGGGTGTGGATATGGAGGGAGTGATGGGACATATTTTTTCCCCCTTTCATCTCACACATTAAACATGTCCCCAGCCAATTTTCATAGTTTCCTCATACCTCAGACACCTTAAACTCATTTTTTTTTCTTTTTGTAGAGACAGGTTATCTCTGTTGCCCAGGCTGGTCTCAAACTCCTGGCCTCAAGTGATCCTCCTGCCTCAGCCTCCCAAAGCACTGGGATTATTACAGGTGTGAGCCACCATGCCTAGCCCACTCTCAATTTTTTTTTTTTTTGTTTTAGACAGGGTCTCACTCTGTCACCAAGGCTGGAGTGCAGTGGTCTGATCTCAGCTTACTGCAGCCTCTACCTCCCAGGATCAAGTGAGCCTCCTGCTTTAGAACCCTGAGTAGCTGGGACTACAGCTGTGTGTCACCACACCTAGCTAATTTTTGTGGTTTTTTTTTTGTAGAGACAGGGCTTCCATATGTTGGCTGGTCTCAAGTGATCCTCCCGCCTCGGCCTCCCAAAGTGCTGAGATTACAGGTGTGAGTCACCGCACCTGGCCCAAACTCATTTTTTATGTTCCTGCACACATCATTCCCTTATCCAAACCATTCATTCATCCAAATCTTGACAACCCCTCCTGAGGCAAAAGCTAACGTGACCCATCCATTCAGCACATCTCTGCTGGGTTTGCCAGGTCTCGTCTTCACAGTAGCCCCTTTGGGGGTGACTGAATAGATGGAGTTAAGACTGTATGGGAAGTGGGTGTGCTTATTGTCCCAGCTACTCAGGAGGCTGAGGTGGGAGGATCACTTGAGTCCAGGGGTTCAAGGCTAGTCTGAGCAACAAAGACTGTACACACTCCTCAATTCAGAGGGGACCCATTTTCTTGAGGTCACTAACCTAGCCCCTCGCCACTGAGTTTATCTTGGTCCTCCAATCCTCTCATTTTAGAATTGTGCAGGCCTCTCGGGCACAGCAGTCTCATGGCCAGAGGCAGAGCCAGGGCTGGACTGGATTCTTTTCCAAGCTGCTGTCCTTTCCAAGATACCTCAAGAAAAAAACATTAAAAGACGAAATAACTCTTGAAGGGGGTTATACGTACCATGTAATGCTTTTTCCACTCACATGGTTTCAACTTTGGGCTTATTTGCCAAAATCTAGGATGGAAAAGTCCAGTTATGAACATGTTCCTCCTGGCTGGATTTGATCTTGAAGACACTAAACCCAATTTCAGAGCATATTTAATCCTGGGCTATTGCTGAGGCCGACTTAGAAGAGACAAAGTGAGATGCGAAAGAGGAGAATTTTTATGATAGTTTGTACGTTACAAATACCCAAGAAACTATTTTCTTTACACCATTATTGCCATGACTTTTTGTGGACAGTTTCACATAACTGTAAAGTCCAGGCTGCTCGGGTCTGACCCCTACAGACCTGCCATGTTGAAGCCCAGCTTTTTCGCTCCCGCACAGGTAAGAAGCTGCTGATCTTCTGCAGACCCGCCATGTTGGGGCCCAGCTCCCCACGCCAAGTCAGAAGCTGCTCATCTTCTGCAACAGGGTTTGGCGCCGTTCTTCAGGGCCGATGCCCTCAGCAATGGACTTTAAGAAGCGCTGCTCGTGTGCCCTCTGGAGCAAGGAGCTGACAGAAGGGTTGGTCTTGCTCAAAGTCTCATAGCAGGTGAGGGTTTCCAAGGCTAAAACGTAGAGTGGCTCACAGACCTCCGGGTGGAGCATGGCCATGATGTGCAGAGCATGGCAGAACACCTGGGTGTAAACAAACAGGGCTTCCTGGGTCAGGTCCTGCTCTGGTCCTTGAACCCAAGGGCCAGCTGCCTGTATCGCCCTGACTGAGTCCAGGAGGCGGGTCAGACTGCCACAGAGGAGTTTGACCACGTGGTTCCAGCCTTCCAGAGGAAGCCAATCACGACAGCTATGGCTGCAGAGAAACTGGAAAGTCCTCAGGAAGAGGACGGAGAGTTGCAACTCCTGGGCAAAGGGCTTCAGGTTGAGCAGGGGAACAAACTGAATATATTCCAGGCTATAAGGGACATGGAGGAGCTGCTTCTCCAGCAGTCTCCTGGTCAGCTGGTGAAGGCGCTGCCACTCCTGAGGGCTGCACCAAGGCATGACTTGCACCAGGGCCACCAGAAAGCCTTTGCTGAACAGTCTGACCTCCTCAGGATTGCCCACGTCCACCACCAAGAGAGACAGCATCCTCTCCGAGATGCCGCTGGAGACGCAGCAGCACTCCATCCAGGCCAGGAGCCCCGTGCCAGCCCCGTACCCTGGGTGGGCCTGGGAGGTCCACTCGTCTTCTGAAAGCTTACAGATCTCAAAAAGTGTGGCTGGCACTTCACACTTGAAGTGCCCCTCGAAGAAGCTCTTCAGCCTCAGGCCCACAGTCCAGTCTAGCTGTTCTAACTTGCGGTGGAGCCAGGACAGGGACTTGATCCAGACATCCGGGGAGAAGGTCTCAGCATTGGCTGATACAATCTCACACAGGAGCTCCAGGATATGGATCGCTAGATCCTTCCTATCCAAAGAGAGGCACCGCTTCTCCTTGGGAAGCTGCCAGTATTTGCTGAAGCGGTCCAAGAGCTGGCACAAGCTGAAGAGGAGTGGAAACGGGGAGCAGGTCTGGAGCCAGTATTCCTCTCGGCACGCGTTTGCCTCTAGAGTCTGGATGAAGATCCTCAGACTGAGGTCTACCTCTTCAACATCTAACCTCAAGAAAGGCAGGACAAATTCCTTCAGCACCTCGTCTGGCTCAAGAAGAGCAGCCACTGGAATCCCTTGGGGTTTCACGGGACTCATCAGGCAGTTCAGGAGCTCTAAAAATTGCTTTTCTTCCTTGGGTGTAGAGAACTTCATCCAGACGGTTTCTTTGAGGCATGACACCATGAAAGTGGCAGATGAATTGGGACCCTGCTCTTCCACAAACCTAAGGGCAGGGAAGGCAGTGAGAATCTGGGCCAGGAACTTGTGGGTGCCGAGATTGACCACAGCCAGGCTGCACATTTTCTTCACCGTGACTTCCGGGTGCACTATGACCAGGCGGGCCACGGAGGCCACAGCTTTTGCCAAGCCCTGTTCGGAGGCACTCTGAGTGAGCTGGTTAAAAGTTGTATTGAGGTCTTCCTGAAAACCCTCCACATAAGCCAGCAACTTTTCAGAGAGGCCCTTTCGCCCCCAGGAACGCAGGATACCTGCAAGGACTTTATTTTTACCTGGCAGGGAGAGGTCTGCGTAACATTCCAGGATCAGGTGGATCACCTGCCGGATCTGAGACTCAGGGATGGCTCTGTCAGCTGTGCTGACGTCTATCACTGTTTCCAGCAGCCTCAACACCAAGTCTGGCTGTCGGAAGAGGGCCCTGTTACTCCCCAGGCAGGCTACCCACTCGTCCGAGAAGGCCCACTTCTTCTCAGAGGCAAAAATGTAGCACACTTCCATATGGCGGTCCATCTTCTGCTGGATGACGGCCATGGCAATGGAAGCTGTGATATCCTCCAAGGCCCTGTTCTTCAGCACCGTGCTCGTTTTCCTCAGGAAGTCCCTGACACACTCCGCCAGCTCAGAGACCACCTGCCTGTCCTCCTTGGACAGGCTGGTGCGGTTCAGGTAGAGCGTCGCGTTCTGGCTGAAGGAAGTCAGACTGTCGCACAGCCGGTAGCTGTCGTAACTTGTCCCCTGGCTGCTGCGGAGCACGGCCTGCAACTCCTCCCCCCACTCCCGCAGCAGGTGGTGCAGGAACTCGCAGCCCACGAAAATGGTCTCACTGGGGAGTTTGGCCAGCGAGGTCAGGCTGACATCCCGTTCTGCCTCCTTCACCTTCTCTGCCAGCGCCTGCTGGTGGTAGGGATTCTGGGTGTCCGAGTTCCACACAGAGATCACCGTGGCCAGTTTGTCCAGATACACGGTTGCAGACACCTCCTGGGGGTCGTCCTCTGTCAGCGCAAACACAGTCAGCATGTCAGCCAGGTTGGCCAGCGCACAGCACTTCCTCCCCGGGCCCAGGATCCGACTCTGGATCTGTGTCAGCCCGCGGAGCAGCATGGCCAACAGGGGCATGGTGGGGCACGCGTCTGGGTCTGACCTAAGCCTCTTTGGAGGATGGGGGAACTCATCTAAGGCAGGCAGGTACTTATGGGCCATTGCACTAAACTGGGAGAGCAGGGGGTCCTGCGGGTGACCCTTGTGCTTCATCACCTCCCACCAGACGTCCAGGAAGAAGGCCACGTCTTCGGCAGAAGTGTCAACGGTCACATGTTCCAGAAAGCGCTCTAGTTCTGCATGGCAGATGGTGGTGGGCAGGGCCATCAGGAGCTGGATAAAGAGTCCAGAAGCTTCCAGGGATTTGAGCAGCTCGAAGAGGATGGTGTGGTTGATGGTGGGGATCATGTTGCCCACCGAGAAGAACAGGTCTTCCTGCCACCGTGTCTCTGTGTCGGACGGGGTCACGGGGTGCGGCTGCAGAACCTTGGCCCAGATGATGATCAGGGCTTTCTTCTTCCAGGCAAAGGGCTGGGAGTGTGCTGCAGCCGAGGAGATCTCCCTTAAGGCCTCCACGATGGGCCGTCCAACACGTTCCCAGTCAGACTTTGTTAATTCTGCCAGTGCCTTAGGGTGGAACAGCTGCTCGGCCAGCAAGAAGCCTCCATGCAGAATAGTCATTTCTTCACAGATGTTCAAGGGTCCTGCACACAGACAAGCCAAATAAGACAGTATAGTGAAAATGTTTCCAGATGGCCACTGCTGTTAGTAGGCTGTCATGGTTTGAGATGACAAGGGTTTTAAAGGACATCAGCGGACGGGGAGAAGGGATGACTACAAGAGCCACTGCACAGCTGGAGTCAGAAGGACTTGGCCGAGGAATCCAGAATGGCTTCCGAGCTCTCCAGCCTGGGAACTGGGAGGCCACCAGGTGACATCACATACAGGGAATGGAGGAGAATCAGAGCAGGTGTGAGGAAAGATGAGTTCAGCTTTGGCCATCAAGGTACAGATGTCCTCCAGCAACGGAAATGCCAGGTGGAAGTTCAGGAGGGAAGTAAGCTGGGAAATGTGATTCTGAGAGGTATCTGCCCAGAGGGGATCACCGGAACCAAGACGGTGAATGAGATCCTTCAGGAAAAGTGTGTGAAAAGAAAAAGCTGGGCTGCTGAGGCGAGACCCTCCAGCAAAGGCTGGGCCAGCAGAGGATGTGGGGAGAGGGGTTTAGAAATAGGAGGACAGTACAAACTACAGGGGCCACTGAGCATGTACCACAGGACATGACAGCTGAGCTTCTCATGACAGATGAAGGGAGCATAGCCACAGGGTAATGGGCACAGAGCAATCACACAGCCACAGGGTAACAGGCACAGCAGCAATCACACGGCCACAGGATAATGGGCACAGAGCAATCACACAGCCACAGGGTAATGGGCACAGAGCAATCACACAGCCACAGGGTAATGGGCACAGCAGCAATCACACAGCCACAGGATAATGGGCACAGCAGCAATCACACAGCCACAGGGTAATGGGCACAGAAGCAATCACACGGCTACAGGATAATGGGCACAGAGCAATCACACAGCCACAGGATAATGGGCACAGAGCAATCACACGGCCACAGGATAATGGGCACAGAGCAATCACACGGCCACAGGGTAATGGGCACAGCAGCAATCACACGGCCACAGGGTAATGGGCACAGAGCAATCACACGGCCACAGGATAATGGGCACAGAGCAATCACACGGCCACAGGATAATGGGCACAGAGCAATCACACGGCCACAGGATAATGGGCACAGAGCAATCA
Source organism: Homo sapiens (assembly GCF_000001405.40). Taxonomy (NCBI): domain Eukaryota; kingdom Metazoa; phylum Chordata; class Mammalia; order Primates; family Hominidae; genus Homo; species Homo sapiens. The sequence continues at coordinate 749,144 of NC_000017.11, forward strand.
CACGGCCACAGGGTAATGGGCACAGAGCAATCACACGGCCACAGGGTAATGGGCACAGAGCAATCACACGGCCACAGGATAATGGGCACAGAGCAATCACACGGCCACAGGGTAATGGGCACAGCAGCAATCACACGGCCACAGGGTAATGGGCACAGCAGCAGTCACACGGCCACAGGGTAATGGGCACAGAGCAATCACACGGCCACAGGGTAATGGGCACAGCAGCAATCACACGGCCACAGGATAATGGGCACAGCAGCAATCACACAGCCACAGGGTAATGGGCACAGAAGCAATCACACGGCTACAGGATAATGGGCACAGAGCAATCACACAGCCACAGGATAATGGGCACAGAGCAATCACACAGCCACAGGATAATGGGCACAGCAGCAATCACACAGCCACAAGGTAATGGGCACAGCAGCAATCACACGGCTACAGGGTAATGGGCACAGAGCGATCACACGGCCACAGGATAATGGGCACAGAGCAATCACACAGCCACAGGGTAATGGGCACAGCAGCAATCACGCAGCCACAGGGTAACGGGCACAGCAGCAGTCACACAGCCACAGGGTAATGGGCACAGAGCAATCACATAGCCACAGAGCAATGGGCACAGAAGGAATCAGACAAGCCCTGCCTTCACTCTTTATAAACTTGCCTTGGGAACAGGCTTCAAACATTCTTCTAGCTTTCAGGGAAACGGTCCACCCCACAGCTCCTTCCAGTCAAAAACAAGGTACTCATGGCCCTAGCTCTGTGGGAGAAACCAGGGAGTAGATACAGAAAATACTGTGCTAGATTAAGCCTTCCTTCAGGGAACTAACGATTGACACAGACTTACCATGGAAAACATCTTGGGATGTTTAATCAGACATGGGTTTAAATCCTAGTTCAGCCATTTAAAAATGATGTGATTCTGGCCAGGTTCAGTGGCTAGCACTTGTAATCCCAGCTACTTGGGGGGCTGAGGCAGGTGGATCCCTGAGGCCAGGAGTTCAAGACTAGCTGGGGTAACACAGTGAGACTCCCCCTCCATCTCCGAAAAAAAAAAAGGGATGTGATCTTGGTCAGATTGCTTCTCCAAGCCTTCCTTCTGCATATGTGGGGATAATACAGACTTCATGTTATGCCTTTGGGGATCATGTGATATATACCAGTCAAGCCCTTGCTAGTGGGTTGGCACTGCTATCTCCTGACCCCATCTCCCCGGGACGCTATGATGGATAAATGAGATAGAGCTACAGTAAGAATCCAGTTACAGAGTCTAATTAGGTGCTCAGTAAATGTTGGTTTCCCCAAACCTTTTCATGGTTGGCAAGACCAGAATCTTGTCACTATTCTTTGCCTCCCCCAGCTCAGAAACATCAAAGGATGTAGGTCTTTATCAGGTATGTTTCCTTTGGCCCAGAAACTAAAACGAGGGTGCAAACACTGCTCCCTATTCCTCATTCCTGAGTCATCTCCCCTTTCCCAGGAGTGAGAGATGCTACTCCTTCCTCAGTCTGTCATGCCCCCAAGAGCTCATATTCCCCATTTTCACAGGCCAGACACCAGCAGAGAAAACACTGACTCCAGGAGACTAAGGACCATCTTACCCCTCCCACCATTTATGGGAGCGGCAGCAGGCCAAGGGCTCAGCACTATGTAACCCACTTGTGGAGGCAATCCATCTCATCTCACAGTGGCTGAGACCGACTCCCAGGGAGGGTTACGCTGCGAAGGGGACCTCCCTGGGGGTTACCGCCCTTCTTTCTGGCTCAGGAGGCTCTCCCAGGGTCCCAAAATATAGTCCCTCCTGACGCTGTAAATTTAATTTTATTGCATTATTGGCTTAGTTGAGCAGATGTTTGGCCCTAAACACCTGCCTTCCAGGCGCATTAAGTACGCACAGTTTGAAGTAGTAAGTCCCAGGGCGGTTACTAGCTGGAAAATACTCCGGTACTCTATCATGGATGGTTAACTAGTGCTTGCCACAGCCCGCTTCTTAGGTTTATTAAGCACCTACTCCATGCCAGACACTGTGCTAGGTGGTACACAGGTAAGATCTCTTCTATTCACAATCACCTTTTGAGGACTAGTATTCCTGCTCTAGAGATAAGGACACTGAGGCGCAGAAACGATTTGCTGAGGGTGTCCCAGCCTGAATGTGGTGGGGCTGGGAAGCAATTACGGCTGAGGGGCTCCAAGCCCTTAGAGCTCTGCCATTCCGCTCCTGAAAAGCTGTCTGGGGGCGGGGACCAGACCATTTCCCCCCAGCCTACTACTGCTGACACATCTCGGGGTGCCTCACCCCCAGCTCTCCCAGAACAGCCTCCTGGTCTTAGCAGCGTGTGCCAAGATTTAGCAGGGAGCATCTAGTTCCTATGGGCTCCCTCCCAGACCTTGCCTGTAAGATTCTGAATCCGGACGCACGCAGGTTCACAAAGTGATACCTCAGGAGCGCAGCCGCCCCCACCGCGGGTGTGACCCGCGCAACCCCACAAGGGACACTGTACCTCGGCGATCTCAATGCAAAGTCGCCCAAAACTCAGTGGGGAGACACACTTCCATTCTCCCCGCTCTGTCGATGAGGAAACGTCATGAGCGTAAGACACTTGGAGCGTTAAGACACTTGCTCAAGAACGCAGCTGCCGTTCAGGAAATGAGGCCGTCGGGGCGCCCAGGGGTGCTCGGAGGGAGCCCGTTTCCCAAAGCACGTGCGCGAGCCCCGGGCGCTTCCAAGGGCTCTAACTTCACGTCTGCTCCGTGTTTTCAAGCGCAGGGGGCCGGAGGCGGCAAGACGCGGCCCAACGCGCGGCGGGACCCGGACCACCCCCCGCCAAGGCCACCCCGGGACCCCTAGACCCGCCCCGACGCGGGGGACGTTTCGGTCCGGGCCCGCGCGAGCGTGCGCGACAGGAGGAGACGCGACGGGGCAGCACCGCTCTGGTGGCGCATTGCTGGACGCAGCCCGGGGCCGGGGAGCCGCGGCACCCACCTAGGTCCATGGCGGCGACGCCGGCGGCTGCGCGGGGCTAACGCCCCCTCCCCTCCGAGAACTCGAACGCGGCGCGGGACGCACGGCACGATGGGAGACGCAGGAGCCACGGCGGCCGCGCTTAGGCCTGCTCACAACCTCCGCCCGGCCCCGCCCACAGCCTCCGCCGCGCACGCGCAGTCCTCACGAACGAGCGCGCCAAGCGCACAGCGCCGCCTTCCGGCAGAGCCCTCCCACCAGCCCTCAGGTACCCGGACGTCGCTCACTAGACCCCTCCGCACCGTCCCCTGCCCGGCCCCTCTTCCGGGGTCCCAGCGGGTCGGGCTCATGATTCCCCGGCCCCGCATTCACCCTCACCCGGTAACCCCGGGCGTGCCCCGCACACAGTTCACCCCCACCGAGCGCCTCCCCCGGGACGCCCACCACCCAGCGCGGCCGCACCACGCGAGGCTTCCACTCCCACCCGCCCAGCTCGCGCCACATACAGTCCCTCAACGCGCTCCTGCCGCGCCGCCCCCTCCAGACAGCAGCGTTCCGGATCCTAGACGCTTTTTGACGGCTGGTCCTCCCCAGAAAATGCGCCGTGTGAGCCCAAACATGGTGGGGTTTACGCTGGACCCCGAGCTTGCAATCTGTGCTTGACAAAACACAAACATCGCGTGCCTGTCTCCTCCCCCTGAGATCGAGTAGTAACAGCCACTCCAACTCTCCACCTCCAGCTTCTAGCACCAGGGACCGCCTCCACCACCCCATGTGCCAAGTGGAGTTCGAGCTGCGCGGCCCTCAAGCAGCTGAAGGGTCCCGTGAGCGATCAGGAGAAGCTGCTGGTCTACGGCTTGTACAAACAGGCCACCCAGGGCGACTGCGACATCCCCGGCCCTCCGGCCTCAGACGTGAGAGCCAGGGCCAAGTGGGAGGCTTGGAGCGCGAAAAAAGGGGCGTCCAAGATGGACGCCATGAGGGGCTACGCGGCCAAAGTGGAGGAGCTGACGAAGAAGGAAGTGGGGGGCGTGGAGCGCGAACAAAGGGGCGTGCAAGATGGACGCCATGAGGGGCTACGCGGCCAAAGTGGAGGAGCTGACGAAGAAGGAAGTGGGGGGCGTGGAGCGCGAACAAAGGGGCGTCCAAGATGGACGCCATGAGGGGCTACGCGGCCAAAGTGGAGGAGCTGACGAAGAAGGAAGTGGGGGGCGTGGAGCGCGAACAAAGGGGCGTCCAAGATGGACGCCATGAGGGGCTACGCGGCCAAAGTGGAGGAGCTGACGAAGAAGGAAGTGGGGGGCGTGGAGCGCGAACAAAGGGGCGTCCAAGATGGACGCCATGAGGGGCTACGCGGCCAGAGTGAGGAGATGAGGAAGAAGGAGGCTGGCTGAGGGCTCCTCGGGAATGGAAAGGGCTTCTTAGACCTTGATGGCTGAAATGTCCTGAAACTGTCGCAAGCTTAGCCGAGACATCAATAAATCACTTAAACTGCATGAGAGTGACTGCTGTTGGAAAGGAGAAACTCGGTGACTGAGTGCTGGGGAGGCGTCCAAATACACAGACTAACTTTTTGTATGGTTTTGGGTGGAGTTCCCAGCTCTCCTATTACAAGAGCGTATGTAGGTATTTGGAAGGACGAGGGGGACAGTGTGCTGTGGAAATGCCCAAGATCTGAGGGCAGGAGACCATTCTCCAGTGACAGCCTCTTGGGAGGTTGAGGCCCCAGCCCCTTATCTCTTCAAGGCTGATTTACTAATACCCCAGCACCACAGAGGGGAGAGGGACTCTGTCCTCCTAAACACTAAAGTCAAGTCCAAAAGCCCCCACTGGAACACAGGGCCTACCCGGTTCATGTTTTGAGGGAGACCAAGCTTTCCGTGATGATAATGTGATGAAACAATTGATGCGCCAGAACACAGCAGTTTAGAAACAATGGAGCAGATGGTGTCAAAATCCCAGCCCCAGAAAGGCTCACCTAAGGCCGGGCAACCAAAATGTTCCCGGGACTATTCTGTACTTAACCCTGGTTTCTGCTTAGGGGACGGTGGGACAATATGCATATGGATGTCTATGTGGGATTTGTTGCAAGAGCACAACACACCCCTTGACCTATGCAAGTGCCAGAGTGTCTGAGCCCAGCTTCTACTCCTGTTAATGATCACAGGAGCCTCATACACAACCATTGTGCATGGCGGCTGGAGTATGGAGTAGTAAATGGTATCCAGAAAGGCAGGTCTACGGTGGCATATGGGATTTCCTGGTACTTCTTCTTTAATAGAAACTATCTTCACAGATCATGACATCAGGTCAGCTGCAGTTCTCACTGGGACCAATAAACAATAGAAGCAACAACCATAAAGACTTAAGAGGACAAAGGAAACCAAACCTCACTGTGTGTCTTCAAGATCTGTTCACATAGTTGCAGGAAGTTGCTGTAGACAAAGTACATTACTAAAGAATGAAGCCCACCCAGGACATCACAGCAACGAAAGAACTATTTCTGGTAACTGTGGACCAGGTGAGAGCCACACTGTAGAACAGCAGTGCTGCCCTCTCTTCTTTGGCGAATGTTATGAAGACATTCTGATGCACTTAGGATCATGATTCATGTTAAATGTAAATTAATTGTAAAAATAATACATCTTGCTCCAAAATGTGGTGACAATTTAGAAGCTGTCCACATAGCCAGACCACTCTGTAAATCACAGAACCTAGAAAGTAAAAATGTGCCATAATTAGGACAGCAGAAAGTAACAGTAAAATAAAGTTTTAAAAAAAAAAACAGAAAATAAGGATTTATCTATTTGTATTTGCTTAAGAAGAGGTTACCTATAGGATGCAGGGGGAATGGGATTGATGGGCATGGGGTATACTGTGAAAGGAAAATAAAATCTTGGGACCAAATTCACTAAGCGAAAAGGAAAAGTTAAGCTTGGAAATTGAGTCATGGAATATGCAAAAAACTTCCTTTTGTTCCTAAACAGATAAGCTACAAGACAGAAGGCCACATATCTCCCCAGGTGGTCTCCCTCACCTGACAATATAAATTAACAGCTTATCTTCATAGGTAAGGGACAAAGACAACACCAGAAACCATCCCTCACCAGCCGAGACAAAACATAGATGTACTGAGCTGAATGCATAACTGTTCCTCTGCCTGCTGCTTTCACTGTAACATATAGATTTGGTGAGCAGTAAATGTAGATTTACTGAGCTGAATGCATAACTGTTCCTCTGCCCGCTCCTTTCACTGTAACATGTAGATTTGGTGAGCGCTAAATGTAGATTTACTGAGCTGAATGCATAACTGACTGTTCGTCTGCCCGCTCCTTTCACTGTAACATGTAGATTTGGTGAGCACTAAATGTAGATTTACTGAGCTGAATGCATAACTGAGTGTTCCTCTGCCCGCTCCTTTCACTGTAACATGTAGAGTTGGTGAGCGCTAAATGTAGATTTACTGAGCTGAATGCAAAACTGACTGTTCCTCTGCCTGCTCCTTTCACTGTAACATGTAGATTTGGTGAGTGCTAAATGTAGACTTACTGAGCTGAATGCGTAACTGTTCCTCTGCCCGCTCCTTTCACTGTAACATGTAGATTTGGTGAGCACTAAATGTAGATTTACTGAGCTGAATGCAAAACTGACTGTTCCTCTGCCTGCTCCTTTCACTGTAACATGTAGATTTGGTGAGTGCTAAATGTAGATTTACTGAGCTGAATGCAAAACTGACTGTTCCTCTACCCCCTCCTTTCACTGTGACATGTAGATTTGGTGAGCGCTGATCAAAGCCTAATAAGAATGTAACCACTTATCTCCCTACCTACCCTCCTGTATTTTTCCTTTCCCTCTTCCCTCCCTTCCTGCTCTTTCCCTTTTAAATACTTGTTAGGAATAATGCTCAAAATCCTAAGGAAATAGAACACTCGAACAAAGGATTCTTAGCAAAGCAATTTTACTTCTGTGCAGAGGGGTGCCTCCTTGGCCAGTTGTCATGAGAGCACACCTGAACAAAGGGGCACGAGAGCCTTTGTTCCTGACACAAGTCCTGCCCCTCTACCCTTTCCCCATTGGCCGGGGTCAGGTCGTACAATCTAAACTAATCGCGCTTGGCTAAACATTTGATTTTTTTAGATAGGGTGGGCCCGTAAAAGAAAGCGGAGAGGAAGGGGAAGGGGTGTCTGTAATGAGCTAGAAAGTTAGTCCTCTTTCCAAATAAGGAAAGGAATGTGAGCTGGTACTGATAACGCCTGGTGCTGTGGCGTGCCTGGGCATCTCACAAAGGCAAAAAGGGAAAAGGAGAAAAAGGGGGCGGGGCGCTATGAATTAAAGAATAAAAGATTGATCAGATTATTTGAAGAGAAACGTCGTCATATCCCACATACTGAGGCCCTAAAAATCCTCTCTGGAAAGTGTGCGGGGGCCACAGATCTGTGGTTGTGTCTCAGGCACATCCTCAGCCTTGGCAAAATAAACCTCTAAATGGGCGAGACTTGTCTCAGACACTTACCCGGTTTACAATACCTTTTCATATTGTTTTCATTTTTGAACCATGTGGCTCTATTGCTTTATATAAAGAGGATGAGGCAAGGGCACTTCTTTATTATCATTGAAGTCAGAGTAAATTTACTATTGATTTCCCCTGAGGTTGGGGTAAGAACTCTTAGAACAAACAGGGAAACTTCTCAACTCTTACCCTGAATTTCAACGGACACGTTGGAGGTCTCCTGAAAACTCTGGCTGCTAAGTCACAGCGGCACTGAGTGGCAGGTGAGAGAGCCAGAAAGCCACATGAAGGAGCACTCACCGTCCCTAGGTTTGTTAATTCCGGTAACATGTCAGACGGACACGGACTTCAGACAGTCCTGCAGGCTAACTAGGAGAGCTCTGGCAACACGGCCGTTCTAAGTCTTCCCGGAGATTTAACTCAAGGCACACTTGTATTTACATGTAGGCTCCACAACCCCTTGATTCAAAAAAACAACTCTGGAGAAGCTGAAGAACTTTCCAACTTCATCTGTTTGAAACAACAGCTTGCAGCCTGAACAACGCAGTGAGACGGTCGCTACAAAAGATCAAAACGTTGGCTGGGTGTGGTGGCACGTGGCTGTGGGCCCAGCCATTCGGGAGGCTGAGGTGGGAGGATCTCTTGAGCCCCAGAGGTCAAGGCTGCAGAAAGCCACGATGGTGCCCCACTGCACTCCACCCTGCGTGATAGAGCAATGTCTCAAAAACCAAAAATGAAACACCAGCTTGGGCAAAGCTATCTTCCTCATGCCATTTTCTAATTGATCATATCCCCCAGATGTGGGAAACTAATCACTTTTGTTTAAAATTAGTTTTTGCGGATCTAATGGGCGTCTAAATAATTTTTTTTTTTTTGAGACGGAGTTTCGCTCTTGGTGCCCAGCTGGAGTGCGACAGCGTGATCTCGCTTCACCGCGACCTCCGCCTCCCAGGTTCAAGGGATTCTCCTGCCTTGGCCTCCTGAGTAGCTGGGATTACAGGCAGGTACCACCACACCCATCTAATTTTGTATTTTTAGTAGAGATGGGGTTTCTCCGTGTTGGTCAGGCTGGTCTCGAGCTCCCGACCTCAGGTGATCCGCCTGCCTCAGCCTCCCAACGTGCTGGCATTATAGGCTTGAGCCGCCGCGCCCGGCCTAAATAATAATTTTTAAAAATTACTCTTTTTTGGTTTAGAATTACTTAGCTGAACTGTGCAGAAGCAAGCTTCTGGATGCCTTGATAAAAAGCCAAAGTTGTACACTAGAGGGCTTTAGGATGAATAAAATGTTAAAAAACGCCAACAGGACGAGGTGGCTGATCACCTGAGGTCAGAAGTTCAAGACCAGCCTGACCAACATGGAGAAAACCCGTCTCTACTAAAAATACAAAATTAGCCATGTGTGGTGGCACATGCCTGTAATCCCAGCTACTTGGGAGGCTGAGGCAGGAGAATCGCTCAAACTCGGGAGGCAGAGGTTGCGGTGAGCCGAGGTTGCGCCATTGCACTCCAGCCTGGGCAACAAGAGTGAAACTCCGTCTTAAAAAAAAACAAAAACAAAAGCAAAAACAAAACGCAACAAAGCGAGACATGACAGGCAATGAAATAAATAAAAGGAGGCAGATCTCCTAAAGCCAAAATGTCCTATGCAGACAAACAGCATTACTGTTCACCCTGCATGGTGCCCACTATCATGCACAGTTGTATATTTAGGAGAAAAACGTTTTGGTACGCCAAAATACAAGATAAGCAGATAAAAGGGAAACCTGTGTGTGTTATTTAGTTATTCGGTACTTATATAAACCACTTATTTTACTACAACAAACTTCGAGGGCCACATTATAGCAGCCCAATACACTGGGAAAAGGAGTTTCTTTTCACAAGGACAATATTACTAGAGATGAACATTAAAAATTACTTAATAATCTAATAGAAAATTGGAAAATTAACATACATTCTAAAGAGAAGCAGAAGTTTACCTGGTTATTCAAAGTTCATATAATAATTTCCACATGTATAAAAAAAAAGAGAAGGGCACGGTGGCTCACACCTGTAATCCCAGGCTGAGGCAGGTGGATCACCTGAGGTCGGGAGTTCGAGACCAACCTAACCAACACGGAGAAAGCCCATCTCTACTAAAAATACAAAATTAGCCAGACGTGGTGGCGCATGCCTGTAATCCCAGCTACTTGGGAGGCTGAGGCAGGAGAATCGCTTGAAACCGGGAGGCGGAGGTTGCAGTGAGCCAAGATCACGCCATTGCACTCCAGCCTGGGCAACAAGAGCGAAACTCTGTCTCAAAAAAAAAAAATAAAAAATAAAAAGAACCAATTACCTAGAGGAGGGCCATATATATAACTTGGTTTGCTTTGAAACTCAAGACTGCTTCCCTAGGATATGGAATTCAAGCTGAATGAAAAGTTGTAGAGCTGGATGAGAATTTATTTCTCTCCGTGAAGGTATAATAGCATCACCCCTATAAGAAGATAAGCTCAAATACAACCAAAATTTCGATGCCCTACGCCCTGCCAGTAAGGGAGGAAAGCAGAGGTTACGATTTACAAGTAATTCTCTATGTGTTCTTTGGGAACCAGGATCCTCTGAGTCAATCCCTTCCAATCTCCTAAGTTTATTTTTAAAAATCTGAACCTGGCCACCACTTTACATGATGAGACTTAGAGACTGGTATCACAGCTTGATTTCAGAAGCTTACTTTCAAAAAAAATTTATTCAATGAATACACAATATAATTCCATTTCGAGTGATTAAAACCTATTTGTTGTTTAGAACCAAACAAAACTACAAGAAAACATTTTCAAAACCTTTTTTTTCAGGCTGAAGAAATCGTTTAATCCATTTTAAAGAAATCTCACATGATGTTCTGTCGGGATTAAAAATATACACGGAAAAAAATAAAACAAAATATATACACAGAAAGAAGCTCGCACAGAGTCAGGCGTGCAGCAACGTCACACACTCATTCCTTTCTGTTTCCTCTGGACACTCAAAATGTGAAAGCAAGTAAGAGGGGGGTGGTTAACCAAACCTTTTGGTCCAAGGAATAAAATTTCTTTAAAAAATTTAAAACGTCAAAACCTGCCAGAATAAGACAATAGAAGAGCGTATCGTCAGGCGCTGGGAATGGCACCACGACAAGGCATTAATGTGGATTCACTTGCACAGCTGCTCTCATAAAAGCTACACGATTCAGAGGTAACCCTAACTATCCGCAATCCCAACCAAAGTCATGTTCATGCCGCTGTCCTAGTCTGGACAATCATCTGTCACTCATCCAACACAGTTATATACAGAATGCGCAGTCCCAGCAACAGTGTAGATTACAGCAGGCGTTCTCTACCTGGACTCATGATTGGATTTCATTTCTAAATTACATCAGAGCTTTCAAAGATTGAAATACACAAATCTGCACTACCCAAGCCTCCTTGCCTGTACGGGAAACAAATCAGAAGAGCATTTATTGGGAACTGACACGTCAGGCCTCACAGGTGCTGGGCAGGAATCACAGAGGCTTGCTCTGCATCATGTCTTCCGTTAACCTGAAGCTTTGGGTTTATTGTGTTTGGCAAACCACTCGTCACTTTTATCTGCTGCCATTGCCTGTAAAATAGAAATAGAATATACACTGACTCCAAGCCTGAAAAACAAAAGACATAGCCCACTTTATATCTCACTGTACTGACCACAATAAAAAAAATTAACATTAAAAAAAGGACCCAAACCCCCGCTCCAAAAAAAAGAGAAGAGAAATAAAAAAAATTTTTTAACATTTAAAGAGTATTAATCCAGTACAGAGTGTTATGTTCAATAAGGCAAGAGATACTGGTGATAATGAGCAACTGTGGATCCTCACTCGGCAGAGTCAAGGGCAAACCAAGCCTGTAGCCAGGAAGTGTGGCTGGCGGACCAACGAGGTCAGGGACCCGCATGCCAGGCGGTAGGATCTCTGGTAAAAGAGCAAGTCCTGCCACTCACAGCATCTGGGCAGACGCTCAAGAATCTTTAGTGTCATGAAACTCAGTCTGATAGTGAGGCCAAATATGAAACTCTACGTGATGTTTTAGTGATGAAGCCTGGAATGATTCCTTTTTCGTAAGTCTCCTCCCGGCCTACTCTTCTGATGTTGGTTCTGTTTAGTTTGGGCATCTTAATTAAAAAGGAAGCCTTAAGCCGTGCCCAGTGGTCACACCTATAGTCACAGCCACTTGGAGGCTGAGGCCAGAGGATCACGTGAGCTCAGGAATTCGAGTTCAGCCTGTGTAACAGAGTGGGACCCCGTCTCATATACATACATACAGATACAAATAAAAATAAATGAATAATACAAAGCCTTAACAATAATGTTTTGGTTCCACAAGCATCCCTTTCGTTGTTTAGTAAGGACAAACACTCATTTATGTAGTCAAAAAGAGCCAGGTACCACGCTGGGTTCAGATGTGGCAGCAGAGACAGTCGGAAGCTTTGAGGAGTGTGCAGAACAGCTGAGAACTCAGATATGGAAACAAGTATTTTGCATGACAGAGTGTGTGTACGCATGTGTGTGTCTTGAAGCATTTGCTATAATATCTACCTCAGCAGGAAGTCACAAGATGAGGTGGCAATTGAAAAAGAAGAAACAAATATATTTATTATTTAGAAACAGTGAAGGTGAAAGTGGCTGTCCTAGGTAGTGTGACTCAGAGTTGGACCGTTTCATTTCTAAAAAATCTTAGTACTATCTGATTTATTATCTTGATGAAAATAAGAATTTAAAAATCAAAGATATGCTTAAAAAAACCACAAGTCACAAATATGCACGTTTCTGTCTTTTAGGAGCCATAAAAAGTGGGAGGAAAGAACAACTAAATTATTTGGAGAACCTAAGAAAGCTTTTTTTCTTTTTTGAAATGGAGTTTTGCTCTTGTCGCCCAGGCTGGAGTGCAACGGCGCCATCTCGGCTCACTGCAACCTCTGCCTTCTGGGTTCAAGTGATTCTCCTGCCTCAGCCTCCCAAGTAGCTGGGATTACAGGCGTACACCACCGTGCCTGGCTAATTTTTTGTGTTTAGTAGAGACAGGGTTTCACCATGTTGGTCAGGCTGGTCTGGGACTCCTGACCTCAGGTGAGCCACCCGCCTTGGTCCCCCAAGGTGCTGGGATTACAGGGGTGAGCCATCGCGCCCGGCTGAACCTAAGAAAGCTTTTAAGTGTTGAAGGACAAGTAAAAGAGGAGAGGGAAAAAACCCTTTGGGTTGGATGCAAGAAGAAGTATCTTAGCTAATATAACCAGTTCAGTGGGACTGGAATAGGGATGAGTTAGGGGACTTAGGGAGGCAGGTGGGAAAGAAGGTCAGAGGGTAGAGAATGTCCAAAAATGTCACATGCTCTGTCAGAGAGTTTGAAATTTATCTCAGAGGCAAGAGAGAGCTATCGGATTAAACGGTTTTAAAAATTACTGGCTGTTTGCTTTGGGACAGACCGTAAGTTGACAATGAGGCCTTTCAAAGGGAAAGCTGATAGGCAGAAGACATTTCAGAGGTAGAACTCACAGCTCTTGGTGACTAATAGCTAAAATAATTTAAGGATGAGGAGAAATAATGGTCAAAAGTGACTGTCTGTAAATCTAAAACGACTATTAAATGTTAAAAAACAAAACACAACAAAATAACACCAAAACTGGCTCTGAGGATTCCAGCGTGAACAACTGGGATCACAGACACGCTGTACTGTCCAGGGAGGGAGCAGGGCGCAGAGGAAGAAAAAGGACTAACTGTAAAGCCTGAAAGGCTTCCATCCAGGCCCCGGCCTGCACCTACTCAGTGCGTGATCTTCAGGGATGAAGGGGAATAATTTCATCACCATCCAGGCCCCGGCCGGCACCTACTCAGTGCGTGATCTTCAGGGATGAAGGGGAATAATTTCATCACCATCCAGGCCCCGGCCGGCACCTACTCAGTGCGTGATCTTCAGGGATGAAGGGGAATAATTATTTCATCACCATCCAGGCCCCTGCCTGCACCTACTCAGTGTGTGATCTTCAGGGATGAAGGGGAATAATTTCATCACCATCCAGGCCCCGGCCTGCACCTACTCAGTGCGTGATCTTCAGGGATGAAGGGGAATAATTTCATCACCATCCAGGCCCCTGCCTGCCACTTACTCAGTGTATGGTATTCAAGGGTGAGGGCCAATGACTTACTCATTCTTAGCCTCGGTTTCCTCATTTGCAAAGGCTGATGCTATCAACCTTGCAGGTTATATTAAGAATCAGAGAATGTGGCTGGGCGCGGTGGCTCACGCCTGTAATCCCAACACTTTGGGAGGCCGAGGCAGGCGGATCACGAGGTCAGGAGATCGAGACCATCCTGGCTAACACGGTGAAACCCCGTCTCTACTAAAAATACAAAAAAATTAGCCAGGTGTGGTGGTGGGCGCCTGTAGTCCCAGCTACTCGGGAGGCTGAGGCTGAGGCAGGAGAATGGTGTGAACCCGGGAGGCGGAGCTTGCCGTGAGCCGAGATCACGCCACTGCACTCCAGCCTGGGCGACAGAGCGAGACTCCGTCTAAAAAAAAAAAAAAAAAATCAGAGAATGTATATGAAGCACTTAAGGTTGGATGCGGTGGCTCACATCTGTAATCCCAGCACTTTGGGAGGCTGAGGCAGGTGGATCACCTGAGGTCAAGAGTTCGAGACCAGCCTAGCCAAAATGGTGAAACCCTGTCTCTACTAAAAATACAAAAATTAGCTGGACATGGTGGCGGGTGCCTGTAATCCCAGCTACTCGGGAATCCCAGCTACTCTCCTGAGGCAGGAGAATCACTTGAACCTGGGAGGCGGAGGCTGCAGTGAGCTGAGATCACACCACTGCACTCTAGCCTGGGCAACAGAGTGAGGCTCCATCTCAAAAAATAAATAAATAAATAAAAATAAAGCACTTAAGAACGTACCGATATAGTAGCATTTATTTCTTTTTATTTTTATTTATTTACATATTTTTAGTATAAATAGAGAGTTCATCTGGGCCAAGCTTGAAGACTGCAGCCCGGGAACATAGATTCAGGTTTCCCAGAATCTACACTCCCAAGTAGCCTTTATGTAATATTACTGGAAGAAGAATGGATTTGAGGTAAGATAAGTTATGGACACGCTGAGTCTGATATGTGGTAGGTTTCCTAGGTGAAGAGGTTCTCAGGATATAACATCGGTCTGGACAGAGAAAGTGCTACATGTAAGAGAAAAAGTTCATAAGCTGGACTTCACCAAAATAAAAAATTCCTCATCTTCAAAAACTCAATTAATGGCTGGGAAAAATACTTGAATTTGCAAGTGACGAAGGAATGATGAAAAACTACAGTACAGAGTCAAGGTAAGAGTCACGTAAGGCTCTGTCGTACTCTCTTCGGTTGTGCATATTTGGAATTTTCATCATGAAATATTAAAAATTATTAAAGAATGGACAAAAGACTTGAACATAAAATTCACAAAAATAAGTAAATGGCTAATAAGCACATGAGAAGGTGCTCAATATCATTAGTCATCAGGGAAATAAAAATTAAACCTCTGTGGGGCCGAGCTGGAAGGATCACTGGAGGCCAGCCTGGGCAACACAGTGAGAATCTGTCTCTACAAACATAAAAAACATCAGCTGGGCATAGTGCTGCAGCCCTAGCTATGTGGTGGCTGAGGCAGAAGGATCGCTTGATTGCACCAATGAAACCATTTCGCATGTGCTAGAATAGCTAAAAAACCCACAAAAAGCAAAATAAGTGTTGGTGAGAATGTAGACCTACTGGACCTCTCGTGGACAAACGATGGTCCGATCACTTTCGATGACTGTTTGACACTTTCTTATACAGTAAAAGCAGTTCTACTCCTAGGTATTTACTCAAGAGAAATGAAACATCTATCTACAAGAAGATTTACACTAGAATGTTCATGGCAGTCTTCCTTATAATAGATTAAAAAATCTAGAAATAAACCAAATGTCCACCATTATAAGAATGAATGAGCAAATTGTTATATTCATAAAATTGAGTATCAGTCAGCAATTAAAAAAAAAAGAGCTGTGATATGCAATTACATGGTGGAATCTCAAAACCATGTTGAGTAGGCCGGGCGCGGTGGCTCACACCTGTAATCCCAGCCCTTTGGGAGGCCAAGGTGGGTGGATCACAAGGTCAGGAGATCGAGACCATCCTGGCTAACACGGTGAAACCCGTCTCTACTAAAAATACAAAAAATTAGCCGGGCGAGGTGGCAGGTGCCTGTAGTCCCAGCTACTCGGTAGGCTGAGGCAGGAGAATGGCGTGAACCCGGGAGGCGGAGCTTGCAGTGAGCAGAGATTGTACCACTGCACTCCAGCCTGGGTGACAGAGCGAGACTCCGTCTCAAAAAAAAACAAAAAACAAAAAACAAAAAAAGCCATGGTGAGTAAAAGCAGCCAGGCACAAAAGGAAAGAAAATACTGAATGACTCCATTTGTATGAAGTCCAAGAACGAACTCACCTACAGTGACAGAAGTCAGAATAGCAGCTGATCTGGGAGATGAAGGTGCCAACTCACTGGAGATGGGCATGAGGGAACTTCCTGGGAAAATGGTCTGTATTCTGAGTAGTGGTTGTATGAGTAAACACAACCGTCAAAACACATTTAAATTCTACCTAAATTATGCCTCATCAACAACAACCACCTGTCTGAGCTGAGGAAGGAGTTAAAAACTGGAAGTGAGGAGGCTGGAGCCAGGATGATGGTTACGTTCAGGGCAGAGGTAAGGAGAGGTCGCAGGTAAGCTCTCATCAGAGTGGAGGAAGAATGCAGAATGGGAAAAACAGCAAAGTAGGGCTATGGGTATAAAAACACTTTGGGATGAGACACAGAAAGAGGTGCCCGTGTCTGAGGAGAAACTGTCAGGAAGATGAAAATGGTAGGATGGCCAGGCGCAGTGGCTCACGCCTATAATCCCAGCCCTTTGGGAGGCCGAGGAGGGTGGATCACCTGAGGTCAGGAGTTCAAGAGACAGGGTTTCACCGTGTTAGCCAGGATGGTCTCGATCTCCTGACCTTGTGATCCGCCCGCCTCGGCCTCCCAAAGGGCTGGGGTTACAGGTGTGAGCCACCGCACCCGGCCTACTCAACCAGCCTGACCAACATGGTGAAACCCCATCTCTACTAAAAATACAAAAATTAGCCAGGTGTGGTGGTGCGTGCCTGTAATCCCAGCTACCAGCTACTCAGGAGGCTGAGGCAAGAGAACTGCTTGAACCTGGGAGGCAGAGGTTGCAGTGACCTGAGATCGCGCCACTGCACTCCAGCCTGGGCAAGAGAGTGAGACTCCCAACTCAAAAAAAAGAAAAATGGCAGGATCGCTAACAGCAGAGGAGAAGAGAGCTCAGGGAGCAGGAGTTCATCAATGGTTCACATCTATAATCCCAGCACTTTGGGAGGCCAAGATGGATCGAATGATTGAGCCCAGGAAGTTTGAAACCAGCCTGGGCAACATGGTGAAACCCCATCTCTAGAAAAAATACAAAAATTAGCCAGGCATGGTGGCGCACGCCTATGGTTCCAGCTACTAGGGAGGCTGAGGTGGGAGGATCACTGGAACATAGGAGGCGGAGGTTGCAGTGAGCTGAGATCATGCCACTGCACTCCAGCCTCGGTGACAGAGAGAGACCCCGTCTTAAAAAAAAAAAAATGGGCCCAGGCGTGGTGGCTCACGCCTGTAATCCCAGCACTTTGGGAGGCCAAGGCAGACGGATCGCCTGAAGTTAGGAGTTCAAGACCATCCTGGCCAACATGGTGAAGCCCCGTCTCTACTAAAAATACAAAAATTAGCCAGGCGTGGTGGCACGTGCCTGTAATCCCAGCTACTTGGGAGGCTGAGGCAGGAGAATCGCTTGATCCCGGGAGGTGGAGGTTGCAGTGAGCCAAGATTATGCCACTGCACTCCAGCCTAGTTGACAGAGCAAGAATCCGTCTCAAAAAATAAATAAAATAAAATGGGCCAGGCACAGTGGCTCACACCTGTAATCCCAGCACTTTAGGAGGATGAGGTGGGTAGATCACTTGAGGCTAGGAGTTTGAGACCAGCCTGGCCAACCTGGCAAAACCCTGTCTCTACTAAAAATACAAAAATTAGCCAGCATGGTGGCAAGTGCCTGTAGTTCCAGCTCCTTGGGAGGCCGAGGCAGAAGAATCGCTTGACCCTGGGAGGCGAAGGTTGCAGTGAGGCAAGATTGCACCATTGCACTCCACCCTGGGCGACAGAGCTAGACTCCATCTCAAAAAATTTAATTCAGTAATTAATTTAATTAAATTAAGAGCGAGGAGGAAGAGTCTGGCAAATTTGTCAGCTGAGAGGATGACAGATTCTACTTTCCTTCAGGATAAAATGTATAAAGACTGTATTTTCTATACATTGCCTGCTTTAACGTTAATTGTGCATCTACTATTATGTCAGTAATTTGCCAAGCTCTATAAACCATAACAATCTTATGAGATAGATCCTCTTATTTTCTGAAATTTTTGGATAAGAAGACTAAAGTTCAAAGAATTTAAGTCAACTGTTTAAGGTCAGTCACAGAGTTACGTGACAGAACCAAGAAAGACCAATTTGTTCCTTTAATCATTCAACAAAGTATTTGCAGAACGTCTAGTACATGCCAGGTATGTGCTAGGAGCTAGGATCCAACAACTACTTTGAATGCTTCTGAATTACTGAGTTTGATGAGAATCTAAAAGTAGTTGCTATATTTGGCAAGAAACAAAAGCACTTCACTGAGTAACAAGAGCCAGTGCAAAACAGACTGAAGTGAAAATGGGAGGCGAGAAAGAGAAACAGTGCACACTCAGATTTTTAGAAGAAGAAATCTGGAGAGGACGTAAGAGGGAGAAACAGCGCGCACTCAGATTTTTAGAGAAGAAATCTGGAGAGGACGTAAGAGAGAGAAACAGCGCACACTCAGATTTTTAGAAGAAGAAATCTAGAGAGGACGTGAGAGAGAGAAACAGCACGCACTCAGATTTTTAGAAGAAGAAATCTGGAGAGGACGTGAGAGAGAGAAACAGCGCGCATTCAGATTTTTAGAAGAAGAAATCTGGAGAGGACGTAAGAGAGGGAAACAGCGCGCACTCAGATTTTTAGAAGAAATCTGGAGAGGATGTGAGAGAGAGAAACAGCGCGCACTCAGATTTTTAGAAGAAATCTGGAGAGTATGTGAGAGAGAAACAGCGCGCACTCAGATTTTTAGAAGAAGAAATCTGGAGAGGACGTAAGAGAGAGAAACAGCGCGCACTCAGATTTTTAGAAAAAATCTGGAGAGGACGTAAGAGAGAGAAACAGCGCGCACTCAGATTTTTAGAAGAAATCTGGAGAGGACGTGAGAGAGAGAAACAGCGCGCACTCAGATTTTTAGAAGAAGAAATCTGGAGAGGACGTGAGAGAGAGAAACAGCGCGCACTCAGATTTTTAGAAGAAGAAATCTGGAGAGGATGTGTGAGAGAGAAACAGCGTGCACTCAGATTTTTAGAAGAAATCTGGAGAGGACGTGAGAGAGAGAAACGGCGCACACTCAGATTTTTAGAAGAAGAAATCTGGAGAGGATGTGTGAGAGAGAAACAGCGCGCACTCAGATTTTTAGAAGAAATCTGGAGAGGATGTGAGAGAGAGAAACAGGGCGCACTCAGATTTTTAGAAGAAGAAATCTGAAGAGGACGTGAGAGAGAGAAACAGCGCGCACTCAGATTTTTAGAAGAAGAAATCTGGAGAGGACGTAAGAGAGAGAAACAGCGCGCGCTCAGATTTTTAGAAGAAATCTGGAGAGGACATAAGAGGGAGAAACAGCGCGCACTCAGATTTTTAGAAGAAATCTGGAGAGGACGTGAGAGAGAGAAACAGCGCGCACTCAGATTTTTAGAAGAAATCTGGAGAGGACGTGAGAGAGAGAAACAGCGCGCACTCAGATTTTTAGAAGAAGAAGTCTGGAGAGGACGTGAGAGAGAGAAACAGCGCGCACTCAGATTTTTAGAAGAAGAAATCTGGAGAGGACGTGAGAGGGAGAAACAGCGCGCACTCAGATTTTTAGAGGAAGAAATCTGGAGAGGACGTGAGAGAGAGAAACAGCGCGCACTCAGATTTTTAGAAGAAATCTGGAGAGGATGTGAGAGAGAGAAACAGCGCGCACTCAGATTTTTAGAAGAAGAAATCTGGAGAGGACGTGAGAGAGAGAAACAGCGCGCACTCAGATTTTTAGAAGAAATCTGGAGAGGATGTGAGAGAGAGAAACAGCGCGCACTCAGATTTTTAGAAGAAGAAATCTGGAGAGGATGTGAGAGAGAGAAACAGTGCGCACTCAGATTTTTAGAAGGAGAAATCTGGAGAGGAGATATGGGGTCAGTAAAAGGTTTTTAAAGGATGGGAGCTTTCAGCGCCTGTTTGCACGCTGGCGAGAATAACTCACTGGAAAGAAGAGACTGATGCTGCAGAATGGAGAAGAGATGATCAAAGGAGCTGCAGAGCTGAGGGGATCAGATGGAGGCATCTCCCTGGGGAGAGCTGAGGGGAACGGATGGAGGCATCTCCATGGGGAGAGCTGAGGGGGTCAGATGGAGGCATCTCCACGGGGAGAGCTGAGGGGATGGGATGGAGGCATCTCCATGGGGAGAGCTGAGGGGAACGGATGGAGGCATCTCCATGGCAAGAGCTGAGGGGATGGGATGGAGGCATCTCCATGCGGAGAGCTGAGGGGAACGGATGGAGGCATCTCCATGGGGAGAGCTGAGGGGGTCGGATGGAGGCATCTCCCTGGCGAGAGCTGAGGGGAACGGATAGAGGCATCTCCATGGGGAGAGCTGAGGGGGTCAGATGGAGGCATCTCCATGCAGAGAGCTGAGGGGGTCGGATGGAGGCATCTCCATGGGGAGAGCTGAGGGGGTCGGATGGAGGCATCTCCATGGGGAGAGCTGAGGGGGTCGGATAGAGGCATCTCCATGTGGAGAGCAGAATAAGCACAGATCCACCAGCAGTGGTTCCAGGGCAGCCTGAGGTTGTGGTAAGGCACAAATGCTAAGTCTAGACAAGCAGTCTACACAGGTGGCAGTGAAGACATCGGTCCTTGGCTGAGGTCAACCCAACAGCGAAAGGACGTGGTTCTGACATTAAGAACCTGGACCCTGTTGCTTAGTCTCCTCCCACACACACTTAATGCCATCCCTCTCAGGCCCATGGTGACATAAATGTAGAAATGGGACTCACATCATCCAACAATTTGCTTCCCTCTGGATCCATCTTAGAAAGTTCTCGAAATGCTTCATCCCCGACAAAGCAAATTTCATGTCCGTCCTACACCAATAAAGAGAAAAGACACCTGCCAAAGACATCCTTGAAGAAACCCCTGGTCCAGCCTGCCCCCTGCCTGAGAAATACTTACAGGGTCGGCCAGAATGACCACCTGTACTGTTGCTTTCCCTGGGGTGTCCAGGCTCACCAGGGGAGTCAGAATCTTCTGGTTCTCCCTTTTCATCAAGTCTTCTAAGTCTGGCAACTTGAGGAAAACAGAGGCAACGTGAGCCAGGGGTCACACACTACTCAGGACACGGCCCTCGTCAGTCCTAGAGGAGTATCAGATACCATAAAGAACCAAGGCGCCATTTGTTTGAATTTATTATCTCAGCTGCTCTTGAAACAACTGCTGAACTTGATACTAAAGCCACAATCAAAAAGGACCTCAAGAAGGGAAGGACAAAGTTCTTAGCTGGGTTGAACTAGCTAGTCAGAAAGCTCAAACGATCTGGTATCAAGCGTTACCTCTTTCTGGGGGCAAGAGAAGGCAATTCTTCCAAAAGCTGCTGCATGGTCCACCCCACCCTTGACGCCCTGTAGCTCCAGCTTACACTGAAATAGGAAAGGGGGTTATTTTTTGGAACAGGTTATACATTCATTACACGTATGTGGTAGAAAAATTCAAATATTATATACTAAAGGAATAAAGTAAAAACTGAGTCTCTATCCTACTCTCACCCCAGAGACAACTAGTCCACACTTTCCTGTGTATCCTTCTAGAAGCACTGCACGCATCTATGTTTTTTTTTTTACACAAATGGTGGTATAATTTACAAATTATTCTGTTCCTTGTTTTTCTCCACTTAATGTTACCATGTCAATACATAAAGATTTGCCTCAATCTTTTTGCTAGCGACATAGTAATCCATTCCATGAATGAGCCGTAAATTACTGAAATATGTCTCTAATCTATAGGACACTGAAATTCTTACACATTGTGATTACAGACAATGCTGCAGCAGATAACCTTGCACACACTTCTTTGTGCCGATGTATGTTGAGCACATCTGTAAAATAATTCCTAGGAGTAGAATTGCAGGGTCAAAGTGCAAGGACTAAATCGTGCTCAAACGCTGGGTTATTAGAAAAAGAAGATGAAAAAGATCTTGCATTAAATCCATTCAATCTCTTGGATTAAGCAATTCCACTTCTGAAGAGATATATCCCCAAATATAAACAAGGTAATATCTGGGTGGTAAGGTTATCACTTATTTTCTTCTGTTTATCTATATAAATATTGAATCACTGTGAAGAAACTATGGGAACAACCTTCATGTTAACTTCATTTATAAAGGTTATAAGCCATTTATAAGCTTCGTTTACAAGCCAAATTCAAAGTAACAGGTTATTCTTCTCCAAGATTGCTCACCTGGTTATCAGCATAGCCCAGCAAAGCCCTTTGCTTTTCTTCATCTTTTTCATAAATTTTCATTCCCAGTAGATTACACCAGTAGTTCAAGGACTTTTGAAGATCAGACACTGCTAGAGTTACTTTTAATACAGGATCTGTTGGGTAATAAAGCAGGAATAGACAGATCAATTTAATAGAATAAAATAGAAAGACCAAAACATGCGCATGTATACTTACAAATTCAGTTTATGATAAGAAAGGGATTTTAAGCCAGTATGAAGCTGGGTGCAGCGGCCCATGCCTGTAATGCCAGCACTTTGGGAGACTGAGGTAGGAGGATTGCGTGAGCCTAGGAATTCAAGACCAATGCAGGTAAAACACTGAGACCTTGCCTGTATGAAAACTTTAAAAAAATTGGCTGGGTGTGGTGGCTGATGCCTGTAATCCCAGCACTTTGGGAGGCCAAGGCAAGTGGATTACCTGAGGTCAGGAGTTTGAGACCAGCCTGGCCAACATGGCAAAACCCTGTCTCTACTAAAAATAAAAAATAAAAAAAATTAGCTGGGCGTGGTGGCGCACGCCTGTAATCCCAGCTACTCGGGAGGCTGAGACAGGAGAATTGCTTGAACCTGGGAGGCGGAGGTTGCAGTGAGCCGAGATGGCGCCGTTGCACTCTAGCCTGGGAGACAAGAGCAAAACTCTGTCTCAAAAAAAAAAAAAAAAAAAAAAAAGATTAGACAGGCGTGGTGGCTCATGTGTGTATTCCCAGCCACTTCAGAGATGGAAGCAGGAGGATCGCTTGAGCCCGGGAGGTTGAGGCTGCAGTGAGCCAAGACTGCACTACTGCACTCCAGCCTGGGTGACAGTGAGACCCTATCTCGAAAAAAAAAAAAAAAAAAAAAACAAAGACAGTATGAAAAGCCTCATTATTCAATGGACGGCGCTAAGAAGACTGGCTAATCATTTGGTAAGAAAAACTTACATCTTCGAAATAAATGACAAAATACATTCCTGATGGGTTAAAAAAATAAGTTTAGAGAATGAAACCATGAAAATACTAGATACAGATGATTATTTATACAATTTTGGAGTAGAGGAAGATTTTTCTTTAAACCTGACACCAAAGATAGAAAAACTATGAAGAAAAAACTTCTGCTACATAAATTACACAAAATGGAAAACTCCTAGACAACAACCAAGAAAAGGAATTACAATCAAAACTAGAGTATACAACACAGTAGGGGGAACAACTGCAATATATTGGACAAAAAGTCCTTAATATGTAAATCACCTGTAAATATCAATAGGAAAAGAATGAACATGCTAGAAAAATAGGCAAAAGGCACAAAGCAATAATCCACAAAACAAGGAATTAGAATGGTCAAATAACATACGAAAAAATATTCAGGCCGGGCGCGGTGGCTCACGCCTGTAATCCCAGCACTTTGGGAGGCTGAGGTGGCAGGATCATGAGGTCAGGAGATAGAGACCATCCTGGCTAACACGGTGAAACCCCGTCTCTACTAAAAATACAAAAAATTAGCCGGGCGTGCTGGCGGGCGCCTGTGGTCCCAGCTACTCAGGAGGCTGAGGCAGGAGAATGGCGTGAACCCGGGAGGCGGAGCTTGCAGTGAGCCCAGAGCGCGCCACTGCACTCTAGCCTGGGCGACAGAGCGAGACTCTGTCTCAAAAAAAAAAAAAAAATTTCAACCCGACGCCCCCAAACAACAAAGAAATTAGAATTCACATAAAATCCTTTGTTAACTAATGTGCAAATAATGTTAAAAGTTGGCAGTGTTAACTGTGTTAGTGTAGAGGGGAAAATCACAATCATGTAATACAAGTGTAAATCAGTACATTTCTGGGCAATAGTTTGATGGAATGTACCAAAAGCTTTAAAAAGTGCTCATTGCTTTTGAAAGAACAAGTCCATTTTCAGCCACTCCAAAGGTAATTGTGGATGTATGAAGGGCTTTTACGACAAAGACATTCACCAGTGTTGCTTAGAACAATAAAACACTAGGAACGACATAAATATCCAACAATAGAGAATTGTTTCTCTTCCTACAATGTAATAATACGATGGAACTCCTAAAAAAGGATATACAGAAATGTATACACTTAATTATATATACGTATTTTTGACAAAAGATTGGAAAGATATACTCTAAAATGTCAGCAGTGGTTCTCTCTGGGTACATGGGTGTGTGTGTTTTTTTTCAGCTTCTCTGCTTGTCTAAGGAAAAAACTTGATTATTTTGTAAAAAGAATAAAAGTCATATTGAAACACCTACTGTTACTGGAAACTTTTCACATTGTAAAGTGACTTTCTAAAGAGCTGTTCCACGTCTCCATCTGACTACGATAAATTCAGTACATTTTTCTTTGGCTTTACTGCCTTAGTCCTGTTTGCTAGAACAGCAATATTGGGATTAAGACGCTGTTTCTCACAAGTGCCTCCGCCTGGCAGGCTCCATTTTTTTCTTTCCATTTACTTCAAAATCAACAAATCCCAGTTGACTTGGAGCCTGAAGGGACGCAGGACAGGAAGTTAACGCGTGGGTGAAGCTGCACAGAAGTGGGTAATTCAAAGGAAAGATGAATGCCAGCCGGACAGAAGGTCTGACCACATTGTCAACCAGAAATGCCCAAGGGGATTTCCATTCCAAAGAACAAAAGCTTCTTAGCACCATGGGGCTCTCTATTATTTTAAGCACTGAAATATCACTAAGGCTGGAGAGAAAAAATGGATGGTGGAGCTAGCTGCAAGCGTTAAGTTTTAAAGTCAGCAAAGGATCAATCACCTATCAACAAAAAAACACCATCAACACCCTTTAAATCACCAGTGAGGCAGAGAAACACCATCTCTCCACGAGTCCCACACAGCCAAGTCTAGCCTCCCACACTGGAACAGACGGATCTTTCTTTTGCTGAGCACCGGATGATAAACAAGGAGCACTGAACATTCTACAGACTCAGCATGGGGGCATCGGGGACAGGAGGCCGACCAGTGAAGAAGGAGAATTTCCAGGACTCCCTTCTCAGGCCCACTTGCAGGCATACGTTCACCAAGTAAGGGAGTCGGCACAAGTGCCCTTGCCATTCGCCAGCATTTTCCCCGTTTTTGCTTTTGTTTTGTCAGAGCAGGTAGCTGAATTTGCAGGCATTAAATACAAAATGAAACACTGATGAGGCTGCCTCTGCAGTCAACAAAACAAACCCTGCAAAGTTTCCTTCTTGTTCTGTGTGGCAGTCAGCGTGGGGGCTCCTCACTTCCATGCCATCCCTGAGTACCCACGCTCAAGTCTGGGAAACTGACCTCGGCTCCAGAGGAGGCATGGCTAAATGGTTTGGGGGTGATCCTATTTCTCTTGCCAGTGATTGGTTTAGGAGCAGGCACAGTATATCAAATCTGAACAGGAAGTTTGCTGGAAGATTCTAGGAAAGTTTTTCTTCTGCTCCTAAAAAGAAAGCAAAAAGGGCCGGGCACGGTGGTTCACGCCTGTCACCCCAGCACTTTGGGAGGCTGAGGCAGGCGGATCAAGTGAGGTCAGAAGTTCAAGACCAGCCTGGACAATATAGTGAAACCCTGTCTCTACTAAAAATACAAAAATGAGCTGGGCGTGGTGGCATGTGCCTGTAATCTCAGCTACTGGAGAGGCTGAGGCAGGAGAATCACTTGAACCTGGGAGGCGGAGGTTGCAAGTGAGCCGAGATTGCAGCACTGCACTCTAGCCTGGGCGACAGAGCAAGACTCCGTCTCAAAAAACAAATAATTTTTAAAAGTTAATAAAAATACTAAAAAAAAAAAAAAAAAAGCTGAGCGTGGTGGCAGGCGCCTATAATCCCAGCTACTTGGGAGGCTGAGGAAGGAGAATTGCTTGAACCCGGGAGGCAGAGGTTGCAGTGAGCAGAGATCATGCCAGTACACTCCAGCCGGACTGACAGAGTCTCAAAAAAAAAAAGCAAAAAGAAGTCAGCATCTCCTCTCCTACCAGATGGGATTGTGGGAGCATGTGGCCCCACCTGCTCCTGGCAGCTCTCCTGCAACCTTGAGGGGACTAGTTCTAGGAGAGGTACCCGCAGAGAACAACAGAACGTAGAAAGAGAAAATGTGGGGAGCTGGTGAATCATCTAACCTTGAAATCTTTCCCACCTATAGAATGCCTGCTCTGTGAGCTAAAAGATTCTATAACTGTTCAAAGTAGTTGGGTTTTCTGTTATTTACAGATGAAAGAATCATAAATCACTACATTACCAGTAGAACAGAACTAGTCTAGATCCCCTACTGCTATGTATTTAAGTTCTGATATGAGAATGTAGTCTCTCCGATAACAGGTAAAAGCACTGGCTGGGGAAGACACGTCACGTGAACACAGACTCTACAAAAAAAAGACAGGCAGCCCTCACTCTCCTTTCACCAAAGATGCCTTTAGACAGAGGCTTTTACTGGTTCTGGTATAATTACCTGACTGAGGCAGACTGCGATTCTGCAAATAGAACTTATATCCTCCCGGGGCCTCGGTTTCAAAAACACCTTCTGCAACTTCCGTCAGTGGCCACTCCAGCTTCCTGGCGTTGCTGACAGCCTGGCTAGAAGCGAGCGTGATTCCCTACAACAAACAACAGTACATCCAAGTACATGATCACAACAGATATTTTACAGAACAAGACAATGAGCCCAACCCCTATTGCCTACTGCCTTTAGGTAAAATCACCTAAGATTTAACTGGCATCCAACATTTTCTTCTAGTGATTTAAAAACAGGTTTTCAATGTTTTATCCCACAAACATTCAGACCTTTGTGAATAATAGGACAGAAATTGAAATGCCAGTGAAGTCTGATTCATTTAACACCAAAGATAACGTCTTCTAATTCTAAAGATCTAGCCACAGAAATCTTGATGTTACCTGGGTCTGCCAGCTAGCTACCTATTTAAGGTGACCTGTTCTTGCTTTTTTAACAAACAAAACAAAAATAAGCAAACTATCAAGGTTTCCTTACATTTAATCAAAGTGCCTAGAAATGTACACGTGTGCTTTGAGAAGACCAGCCTTGTTTCTGGCTCGGTTTATTATAATGGCCTCTCTGCCTCCAGTCTTGTAAATCCATTACCCACTCTGCAGCCAAAGTAAACTTTCCAAAACGCATCCTATAGTCCACCCCCAGACTGCAGCCAGCCTTGTTTTCCCTTTGCTCAAAGTCCGCCAATGGCTCATTTCACTCGGTGACTTACGGCCTAGGAGGCCCCCTGCAGTCTTACCCCATGGCACTGCCGACCCCATCTCTTACCACGCTCCCCTCTCGTTCTCTATTCCAGCCACACTGGCTTCCTTACACCTCCTCGAACACGCCAGATGTTACCTGACGGCTCTTGCCAGAATATTCTCTGCCTGGAACGCGCATCCCCCAGATATCCACGTGGCTAACTCCCTGACCTCTTTTGAGTCTCTGCTCAAATGTTATCTCTTCACTCACACACACCCTTGGCACTCTACTCAAATTTACAACCAGCCACCTACCCCCAGCCAAAACTCTGCTAGAAAAAAACGGTATTTACCATAAAGTCATTGCCAAGCTTGTAGTCTCCGACGCCATAATTGTAAGTCAGTTCTGCGACAAAATGATCATCCTCAGGCCCAAATCCCACCATTGTTTTACTCCATTTCCCATCATAAGGCCTAGAAAATAAAAGTAAATGAACTCAGTGACTACAGACAAGTCAGCCTCAGGCCACCCCCAGAGAACTACTGGGCACAGAGAGATGAGCATTCCTGTCTGGTCCTAAAAGTTCTCTTAAGGATGAGATGACCTCAGATGGTACAGAAAGCAGCTGTGGGCAGTGCTCATGGGACCCTACTACAAGCTCCAAAGACTATCCAGCATCTACCTGAAGGAAAGATTTGTTCACCTTTTCTGTAAAGCAAGGAACAGAATCCTAAAGACAGTTCTCCAACTGACCTGTTATTTCCTTGACTATCAATCAACAAGCATGAAATTCCTAATAGGCCTTGGACTGTTCCAACTTGTCACGGTACTAAGCTTAAGAGATGGACGGGCGTGGTGGCTCAGGCCTGTAATCCCAGCACTTTGGGAGGCCGAGGCGGGAGGATCACCTGAGGTCAGGAGTTCGAGACCAGCCTGGCCAACATGGTGAAACCCCGTCTCTACTAAAAATACAAAAATTAGCTGGGCATGGTGGCACATGCCCATAGTCCCACGTACTAGGGAGGCTGAGGGAGGAGAATTGCTTGAACTCAGAAGACAGAGGTTGCAGTGAGCCAGGATAATGACCCCGCACTCCCACCTGGGTGACAAAGTGAGATTCTGTCTCAAAAAAAAAAAGATACTGGAAAGCCGCTGCTTCATCTAGAGCATGTACTTATTTGCATTTGTGGCATAATATGAAACATATCTGGTCATTGTCCCTGGTTCCTGTCTCAGAGCTCCCAAAACCTCTGGAATTTCCTGATAGGAATATCTTTTGTTATATTCATAATGAGCCCCTTTCAGTCACACCTGAGTTTATGCTAATGAAGTGACTTAGAGTGGGGCCTCTACATAGACTCAGGATGGGGCTGGTCACCAGAAAGACAAATGATTAGAGGACTGAACTTTCAGTCCCATCCACCAACCTCTGGGAAGGAAAGGGATGGAGACTGGGCTCTATTAGGCTTGAACAATGAGACTCATGAGCTTCTGGGATGCTGAACGTAGGGAGGTGCTGGATTGGAGCCTGCCCAGAAGAGCATGGAAGCTCTGCCACCCACTCCCCATGCCCTGCCCTGTGTATCTCCTCTGTCCAGCCATTTCTGACTCGTACTCTTTATGATAAACCAGTAAATGTAAGTAAGTGTTTCCAGCGTTTCCCTTAGTTCCATGAGCCACTGTAGCAGACTATCAAACCCAAGGAAGCAGGAGCGGGAGCCCTGACTTGTAGTTGGTCATCGGAAATCCTGAAGATCCAGACTGTGACCGGCGCCTGACGTGGCGGAAAATCTTCTGGGACTGAGCCCTTAACTTGCAGGATCTGACATTAACTCCAGGTAGAGTCAGAATCAATTAAATAACAGGACAGCCGGCTGGTGTTAGAGAGCTGGAGAATCCCTTTGTGTCCCACAGGTGTTGTATGAGAGTGCAGAGAAATGTGTTCCCGACGCTCCTGAAGTTGCCTCCCTAATTTACTGCCTTCTTAATTAATTCCACTGCTTTATACTCATGAGAGTGCAGAGAAACAGTATGTGTTCCCGACGCTCCTGAAGTTGCCTCCCTAATTTACTGCCTCCTTAATTAATTCCACTGCTTTATACTCACTTTGAGAAACTGTCTTCTGTTATCCGGGTGTAGTCAGAGCCTAAAGGAGATTTTAAGAAACAAGGTATCATACCCATTACAGGCAGCTTTGCAGCCTTCTTCAAATTCCTCATGCCGCAGAACCTGGTGTGAGATTTAGAATAAATTGTGAAGTGTTGCTAGTACTGCTCACAGCGTCTTTAGCACAGACTAAAATGTCAAAACACAAACATTATCATTTATAAGCTTTACTTGTAAAAGAACAAAAGCAAATGAGCTTTACACTTCTCCCAGGATAGAAGCAGTGGAAGGACGAACAGCTTGACACCAAGGGTCAGGCTACCAAATCAGTTGTGAAATCTATTTAGATTGGTAAGCAGTGCTATGCAGTGGGAAAAAGTGTGGCCTTCAGCATTAAAGAAGTCTGATTTGGGCCGGGCACAGTGACTCACGCCTATAATACCAGCACTTTGGGAGATCAAGGTGGGTGGACTGCCTGAGGTCAGGAGTTCAAGATCAACCTGGCAAACATAGTGAAACCCCGTCTCAACTAAAAATACAAAAATTAGCCAGGCGTGGTGGCGTGTGCTTGTGATCCCAGCTACTCAGGAGGTTGAGGCAGGAGAATCACTTGGACCATGAGATGGAGGTTGCAGTGAGCCGAGATCGTGCCCCTGCACTACAGCCTGGGTGACAAGAGCAAAATTCCATCTCAAATTAAAAAAAAAAAAAAAAAAAAAAAAAAAAAGATGGGCATCGTGGCTCACGCCTGTAATCCCAGCACTTTGGGAGGCTGAGGTGGGCAGATCACCTGAGGTCGGGAGTTCGAGACCAGCCTAGCCAACACAGTGAAACCCCATCTCTACTAAAAATATAAAAAATACAAAATTAGCCAGGCATGGTGGTGGGCGCTTGTAATCCCAGCTACTCAGGAGGCTGAGGTAGGAGAATTGCTTGAACACGGGAGGCAGAGGTTGCAATGAGCTGAGATTGCACCATTACACTCCAGCCTGGGTGACAAGAGCAAAACTCAAACTCAAAAAAAAAAAAAAGTCTGATTTGGAATTCTGTCATTTAGTAGTTGTGTAACTCTGAGCAAATTAGAATCTGAGTCTCAGTCTCCTAACATGTGATGGGAATGGATGTTATGAAAGCATCTCACAGAACCCTGCACACAGCGGGCTCTCAACGTGTTAGCTTTAGCCCTCCTTTTTGATTCCCACGGCTCCTGCCAGTTGAAGTTCCCAACGCTTCGCTCAGACTATTAAAAATCATCCTTATTGGCCGGGCGCGGTGGCTCACGCCTGTAATCCCAGCACTTTGGGAGGCCGAGGTGGGTGGATCATGAGGTCAGGAGATCGAGACCATCCTGGCTAACACAGTAAAACCCCATCTCTACTAAAAATACAAAAAATAAGCAGGGCGTGGTGGCGGGCGCCTGTAGTACCAGCTACTCGGGAGGCTGAGGCAGGAGAATGGTGTGAACCCAGGAGGCGGAGCTTGCAGTGAGCCGAGATTGCGCCACTGCACTCCAGCCTGGGCGAAAGAGCGAGACTCCGTCTCAACATAAAAAAAATAAAAAATAAAAAATAAAAAAATCCTTATTGATATCCTTCCTTAATAACACCAAAAAAGCACATGCCTAAAGCACAAAGCACTGATCCCATCACCACCCTGTTTAAGAACATAAGTGAGCTCCCATCTTACTGCAGCATAAAATCCAAATTCTTTAGCATAGCATTCAAGATACTATTAGAAGCAATGCCGACCTGTCCATCCTGATATCCCATCTCCTTAACTTCAACTAAGCAACCTCAACTAAAGGCACATAAAACCAGCGGCTTCGCAAACATGTGCCATCTCCGCACTGGCTCTTCAGTTTTACTATGTAGCTCCTCCTCTCATCTACCTGTGGATATCCTATCTTTAGACGTCAACTCGAATCCTGGCTAACACGGTGAAACCCCGTCTCTACTAAAAATATTTTTAAAAATTAGCCGGGTGTTGTGGTACGCGCCTGTGGTCCCAGCTACTCGGGAGGCTGAGGCAGGAGAATGGTGTGAACCCGGGAGGCTGAGCTTACAGTGAGCCGAGATCGCGCCACTGCACTCCAGCCTGGCGACAGAGCAAGACTCCACCTCAAAAAAAAAAAAAAAAAAAAAAGTCAACTCGAATACAAGGTCTACATGAATTATTTCCTCATCACCCAGGTTGGAAAACCGCTCCTTCTTTTGTATTTTTATAATAGTGGCTAACACTTATATAATCTACTATTACCGATATGTTAAATACTATACATATAATAAGGTGTTGAATCTTTTTTTTTTTTTTTTTTTTGAGACGGAGTTTTGCTTTCGTCATCCAGGCTGGAACACAATGGTGCGATCTCGGCTCACTGCAACCTCCGCCTCCCAGATACAGGCGATTCTCTTGCCTCAGCCTCCCGAGTAGCTGGGATTACAGGCGTGTGCCACCATGCCCGGCTAATTTTTGTATTTTTAGTAGAGACAGGGTTTCACCATGTTGGCCAGGCTGGTGTCCAACTCCTGACCTCCAGTGATCCACCCGCCTTGGCCTCCCAAAGTGCTGAGATTACAGGCGTGGGCCACCGCGCCGGCACGTGTTTAATCTTTGCAACAACCTTTTGATCGACGAGGAAATACTAACAAGGGACAGCTCTGTGGTTTCTGCTATCGAAAGTTTGGTGGTTTTTCACTATCAAATTCTGACTTCCATTACCATCATCTACGTACAAATCCAGTTCCAACTCCCACCCCAACCCAGGCCATGAGCTCTAATGGAGGATATATATCAGGGTCATTTGCACCTTTGTTGCCAAAACTCAACGTAGTACCCTGAAAATAGCAGATATTTTAAAAATGACCTGACGAATTCAGATCCCCGTCTATTGCACCGTCTATACACTAAACCGCGCTCTTGCACCTTTCAAGTCTTCCTTAGTGGTGTGTTCCCTACCTCCCTGGCTTATCAAAGGAGGTCCCCAAAACCCAGTTCCCCAACCAACTGAATCCTGCAAATAACAGCTCCTCAGGACCCGAGACAGACCGCTTCTGGGTGCTGTTGAAAAGCAGATGGGTTGAGAGTTGGAGCATATATTCAGAGACTGAGTATCCGAAACGGACTATTCAGACCAGCCTTGCTAGAAGCAGAACTCTGAATACGCTGATTTTATCTACATCAAAGGCTCCAAACCGGAAAACACAAATATTAACTAGAAAGCATTATATAACATTTTATTTACCGTCTTTTCCGGTAGACGGTAAGCTCCACAAGGGCGGGGCTCAATAAACGTTTACGAGTGGCTTAAATGAAAGGACGTGCGTGGGCACACCGCGGGGACTAATCGTGTTAGGCCCTTCTCCAAGGCCTATGATCCCCAACGGCAACTCGCCACGCTCCTGAAGCTGAACACCGCGCAGGGCCTAAGGTCGGACACCCTCCGGCTTAGGTTCACGACACACCCATTTTCCCCTCCCTCCGCCAGGGCCGGCTCGGGCGCCGGTTCCAGCCTCGCGCGCCAGCCCCTGTCGGCCCCGGCCTGCACCTTCATCCCCAGGACGTCCCGATAGAAACGCGCCGTCTGGAAGCGGTTTCCCACTTTGAATACGAAGTGCAGAGCTCTGCGAGCAGCCATGATTCCCGCCGCACGCAGCCGTCACGCGCACCGTACAGCCCAGTCCACGAAGGGCGCCACGGGCCGTGACGTCACTAGCCGCCGACGGCGCGCTTTCGTGACGCAGCCCGGGTCTCAGGGAACATGGCGGCGCTGGTGAGACCCGCGAGGTTTGTCGTGCGACCGTTGCTGCAGGTGGTCCAGGCTTGGGACCTTGACGCGAGGCGCTGGGTCCGGGCGCTGCGGCGGAGCCCAGTGAAAGTGGTGTTTCCTTCCGGAGAGGTGGTGGAACAGAAGCGCGCTCCTGGGAAGCAGCCCCGCAAGGCACCATCTGAGGCCAGTGCCCAGGAGCAACGAGAGAAACAACCGCTCGAGGAGTCCGCATCCCGCGCTCCCAGCACCTGGGAAGAGTCTGGGCTTCGCTACGATAAAGCTTATCCCGGGGACAGGAGGCTGAGGTGATGTGGTTCTTGAGCCTGTCGAATGTTCTCGTTTCCCTTCCCGTCGCACAGCGGAACCTTAACCTCCTTCCGATGGAGGACTTCTTCCAGTACAGCCCGCTGGTTTTTGTATTATGCACAGAGGGCCGAATAAGCGTCTTTGGAATTAGCTTCTGTTTCTCCTTAGCTCTTTGTTGTTGTTTTTGTTTCACCATGTTAGCCAGGCTGATCTGGAACTCCTGACCTCAGGTGATCCGCCCGCCTCGGCCTCCCAATGTGCTGGGATTACAGGCGTGAGCCACCGCGCCCGGCCCTCTCCGTAGCTCTTTATTTCTGTTACAACTAAGCGTGTCTCAGTAACAAGGATGTTGATAGTTACCTGTTTTTTTTTTTTATTTCCATCTACAGCAGTGTAATGACAATAGTAAAGTCCAGGCCATTTCGGGAAAAACAAGGGAAGATCCTGCTGGAAGGTCGCAGGCTCATTTCAGACGCTCTCAAGGCTGGAGCTGTGCCAAAAATGTTCTTCTTTAGCCGTCTAGAATACCTAAAGGAGTTGCCAGTCGATAAGCTGAAAGGTGTCAGCCTCATTAAGGTGAAATTTGAGGATATCAAGGATTGGTCCGACCTCGTAACGCCACAAGGAATAATGGGTTAGTGATTACCCAGTGTATCTTTTTTTTTTTTTGTCTTGTTCTGTCACCCAGGCTGGAGTGCAATGGCGCGATCTCGGCCCACTGCAACCTCCGCCTCTCGGGTTCAAGGGATTCTCTTGCCTCAGCCTCCGCAGTAGCTGGGATTACAGGCGTCTGCCACCATGCCCGGGTGATTTTTGTATTTTTAGTAGAGGTGGGGTTTCACCATGTTGGCCAGGCTGACGTCGAACTTGTGACCTCAGGTGATCCTCCTGCCTCGGCCTCCCAAAGTGCTGGGATTACAGGCGTGAGCCACCATGCCTGGCCTTACACAGTGTATCTTAAGGTGTGGAGACCTAGGATTAATTTCTCATACTTGTCTTAGGACAGCAGCATTGAAATGAAATTCAAAATGTTACAATTAGAAAAATATAATTCTCAAACCTGTGTATCTTAGAGTATTTTCAATGGAAATTGAAACCCGTTTTTCACTATCATTTGTGTTGTGGCTCTTTATGGTCTCTAGGAAGAACCACTATTCCTCAAACCTTCTATTTTTTAGATTACTTCTTCAACTTTCTATGTCAGATTAAAAATTAAGAAAGCGTTTACTGAAAGATTGAGCCCTTCATTTTTGCAAAACCTCTGCCAATGTGGTGATAACTGTCAATAAACTGCTTATTCCAGAAGCAGATCTAAGAAGCGAGGTACAAGCCACAATTTACTGCCCCGTTTAGCCCAATAAACAGAGAACCTTGTCTTCTAGTCTGTTCCTTCATTTGGCTGAATCTGACTTAACCTTATGTAACTCCGATGTTGATTAGCAGTTACAAAGTCTTTGGTCTAAATATGAGAAGATAAGTTTTTCATACGTTTTTGACATGGGAGTTTTAAGATATGAAAACTGAATCCTTGAACTGCTGAGAGAGGAGATTCTGGGGAACCATCTCTTGTCTCTGTAACCCAGTGAGTCACAGGGATCTGTGCCTCTGCACTCAGAGCTCTTAGATCCTAGGATGGGGACTTGGATTACTAAAGTACCTAGAATTACTCATGCTAAGTAACCATATTCTCACTAGCTACAGCCCTCTAATCCACACGCCATGCTTCAGTGAAAGTGTTATTCATTTTTACCGTGCTTGTCACTTGGGGCAGGTGTGCTCACAGTGGCCAGCCCATCTTGAACTTGTGCTTGTCACTTGGGGCAGGTGTGCTCACAGTGGCCAGCCCATCTTGAACTTGTGCTTGTCACTTGGGGCAGGTGTGCTTACAGTGGCCAACCCATCTTGAACTTCATCATCATACCTGCTTTCATCATTTCCTGGCTTATCCTTATGTTACTATATTTTAGATTTGAGGGCAGGGAATAAGGGAGAAATGGATAGGAACTGGCAGCACCTGTCAGGCTTTAGACAGACACTCCCCAGAATCCAGCGACATAAGTAGGGCCTCCGTATAGTGGGTTCTCATCACCACAGACATCCAAGTAGAAGTAAAGGACTTCTAAGGTCCTCAGCCCTACTGAATGGCTTTTGGCCATCTGTGACTCCGAAGTGGAGGCTCTCTCACAGCACACAGACGCCTAATACCCTTCCATTGCCTTCAGTGGTGGATAGGCTTTTTACCTGCACCATCTTTTAGAAAGAATCCTAAATCTTTGATTGTATCATGTTTCAGTACAAGTACTATTTCATTCATCTCCTGACTTCAGTCAGTAGCCCATTTATTGTAGCAATCATATACGACAAAATACTAGTAAGATTCAAAAAAACTGTACAGTCCCTTGGGAGCAGACTACAAAGGGATTGAATATTTGATAATTATACATAAAGAGTTTAGGGTAGTGCTTGGCTTAAAAAAAAAAGCTTACTAAAAGGTTATCATTATCACCTCTACCAGTAAACATGGTGATTCAAAAAGAAACTTGTGGATATGTGATACACCCATGTGAATAACTTCATCTATACCACAGCAATTTCATGTACTCAAAGCCATTTTTAATATTGTTATTAGCCTTTTTCCAATTTTTCTCTTTTCCCATAAATTCTTTCCATAAAACTTTAGAGATTAATAATGTAGAGATTATATAATGTAGATTATTATATAATGTATATATAATTTTATCATGTAGAGATCATTAAATAAGGAGAGAATTTTCCACTAAGAAGGCCACTTAGGGTTTTCATTTTCCCAGATAGTCCCAGACCCCATTTTACTCCTTTGTATTAGACTGAGGACAGAGCGGTCGCCAGTAAGTGGCTGTACCCATTCTAAAGCTCCCAGGCTTCTGGACCTCCAGCGTGAGGCCTTGGAAGTGACTCAAGCGTTCACTGCACCTACAGCCCCTTCGTTTTGCAGAGTATGTCCCTAAGACAGTGCTTCTGAGCCAGCGTATTTGAAAAAGGGGTTGTTACTTTGATGCATTCAAGTTTTGAAATTCATATTCTTTTTCCTAGGAATGTAGTTTGAATTTTAAAATGAGTGATAAAGGAAAGATAAATCAGTATAGCAGGCTAATAATTGTTTTTTAAATATTTAAGCCTATAAACTATTTTTTAAAAGCCTACCTGGTAGGAAGATGGGCACAGGTTGTAGAAACAAGACAGTTAAAGGAGCACAGGAATTCACTGAAGAAGATCGCAGTCAGTCAGTAAGGTGTTTAGCTTCTCTAGTAATCAGAGAAAAGGCAAGTTAAAATAATGGCATGCTGTTTTTTCTATCACATTGGGACAAATGGAAACAAATGATAGACCCGCTTTTAAGAAGGGTTTGAGCTGGAAAACAGGTTTTGTTTTGTTTTGTTTTTTGTTTTTGAGATAGTGTCTCTGTTGCCCAGGCCGGAATGCAGTGGCGCGATCTTGCCTCACTGCAACCTCCACCTCCTGGGTTCAAGCAATTCTCTTGCCTCAGCCTCCTGAGTAGCTGGGATTACAGGCATGCGCCACCATGCCTGGCTAATTTTTGTTTTTTGTTTGTTTGTTTGAGACGAAGTCTCGATCTGTCGCCCAGGCGGGAGTGTAGTGGCGTGATCTCCGCTCATTGCAAGGTCCGCCTCCCGGGTTCACACCATTCTCCTGCCTCAGCCTCCCGAGTAGCTGGGACTACAGGCGCCCGTCACCACGCCCGGCTAATTTTTTTGTTATTTTTAGTAGAGACAGGGTTTCACCGTATTAGCCAGGATGATCTTGATCTCCTAACCTCATGATCCGCCCACCTCAGCCTCCCAACATGCTGGGATTACAGGCATGAGCTACCGTGCCTGGCCTAATTTTTGTATTTTTATTAGAGACGGGGTTTCACCATGTTGTTCAGGCTGGTCTCAAACTCCTGACCTTGTGATCCGCCCACCTCAGCCTCCCAAAGTGCTGGGATTATAGGCATGAGCCACTGCGCCCAGCCGAAAACAGGTATTTATGAGTTCCTGATGTGAATAAACTGAAAGAGCCTGTGTGAACGTTAATAGTGCACGCACATCATTTGTCCATTTCACTCACAGGTATTTATGCTAGAGAAATTTTTAGACACATGGACAGACAGTCCTACAGGGATACCCATTGCAGCAGCATTTGTAACAGGGAAAAATTCAAATAATTTAACAGTCCATAGGGGAAGAGCTAAATGAACTGTGGTACATTCATACTACAAAATAGAGGCTGGGCATGGTGGCTCACAACTGTAATCCCAGCACTTTGGGAGGCCGAGGAGGGTGGATCACCTGAGGTCAGGAGTTCGAGACCAGCCTGGCCAACATGGCAAAATCCCGTCTCTATTAAAAATACAAAAAATTAGCCGGGTGTGGTTGCGGGTGCCTGTAATCCCAGCTACTTGGGAGGCTGAGAGGCAGGAGAATTGCTTAAACCCGGGAGGCAGAGGTTGCAGTGAGCCAGCATTACACCATTGTACTCCAGCCTGGGCAACAGAGTGAGAGAGTGGGACTCTGTCTCAAAAAAAAATAGCCTACAGCAGTTAAAGGAAAAAAGTAGCTTCAAACATATTGACATGGTAAGTTCAAGATATATTGTTGCGTAAATAAGTCGATTACAGAATAATACAGAGTATGACACGGAATGTAAAACACATTTACATATGGACAGGTGTGCATATATATAGGTAGATGCATAGAACAAGTTCTAAAAGGATACACTCCAAAACAGAACAGTTGAGGGGGAGGAGAGTGGTACTGGTAGAATTTTATGTTGTTTGAATTTTGCCAATCAGAATGTATTCGTGGTTTTTTTTTTCCTTTTTTTTCTTTTTGAGAGGGAGTCTCACTGTGTCGCCCAGGCTGGAGTGCAGTGGCGTGATCTTGGCTCACCACAACCTCCACCTCCCAGATTCAAGCGATTCTCCTGCCTCAGCCTCCCAGGTAGCTGGGACTAGAGGCATGCGCCACCACGCCTGGCTAATCTTTGTGTTTTTAGTAGAGACGAGGTTTTGCCACGTTGGCCAGGCTGGTCTCGGACTCCTGACCTCAGGTGATCCACCCGCCTTGGCCTCCCGAAGTGTTGGGATTACAGGCATGAGCCAGTACACCTGGCCTGTATTCCTGTATTTTTATGTAACTAAGACCATATCAAGATTGATAAGTAAATGAAAAGTCAGACTATTCCCCGTGCCCACACCAGGCAAGTAAACCACCTGTTTTGTTTCCTCAGGGATTTTTGCCAAGCCTGACCATGTTAAGATGACATATCCAAAGACTCAGCTTCAGCATTCACTGCCTTTATTATTGATTTGTGACAATCTCCGTGACCCTGGGAACCTGGGGACAATTCTGAGATCTGCAGCTGGGGCAGGCTGCAGCAAAGTGTTACTCACCAAAGGTAAGGACATCAAAGGCCAGGCATAGTGGCTCACACTCGTAATCCAGCCCTTTGGGAGGCCGAGGCAGGAGGGTCACTTGAGCCCAGGAGTTCAGGACCATCCTGGGCAACATAGTGAGACCTCATCTCTACAAAAAAAACTACAATTAGCTGGGTGTGGTGGGGTGTGCCTGTACTCAGTCCCAGCAACTTGGGAGGCTGAGGTGGGAGGATTGCTTGAGCCTGGGATGTCAAAGCTCATCACATGTCAAGTGAGCTCATCACTGCACTCCAGCCTGGGCGACAGAGTGAGACTCCCTCTCAAAAAAATAATAAACCAGGTGGATTAGTTGGTCTGGTCTTTTTTTTTTTTTTTTTTTTTATTAAAGAGATGGGGTCTCACTATGTTGCCCAGGCTGGTGTTGAACTGGCTCTGACTCAAGCAGTCCTCCTGCCTCAGTCTCCCAAAGTGCTGGAATTATAGGCATGAACAACTATGCCCAGCCAAGTCAATCACTGTTAGGTGAGCTATGGCTCTGGGCAGGCAGACATGCATTGGATCTTGGGTCTGCCTTCACTAGCTGTGGTCCCTGAGCAGTAGCTGGAATGACAGGCATGAATAACCACGCCCAGCCAAGTCGACCATTGTTAGGTGAGCTAGGGCTCTGGGCAGGCAGACACGGCTTTGGATGGGTCTGCCTTCACTAGCTGTGGTCCCTGAGCAGTAGTCCCTGAAGTGTCAGCTTCCTCGTTGGTGAACTGGGAGGAATAACAGAATCTCCCTGGTCACTGTGAGGATTAAGTGAGATGATGCACAGAAGTTACTTCATACCTTACCTGCCTCACGAGTAATTCAGTCAATGTTGATTCTCTTTTTTAAAAATTATGTTTTTTGTAGAGACGGGGTCTTGCTGTGTTGCCCAGGCTAATCTGGAACTCCTAAGCTCAAGGGATCCTCCTGCCTCGGCCTGTCAAAGTGCTGAGATTATAGGCATTAGCCGCCATACCCAGCCATGTTTATTATCTTTTAAAATTATCATGAAACCTGCTAGGCTGTTAGAGAACTTCACATCGATTATGGAAAAGAAATAGATGCCAATTTTAACACTTGGTTTCTGGTTCTTTATGTAATGATATTGAGTTCCCAAATTGCTGAGTATATGAGCCACTCCTGAGTCTTGACTTCTGAATCCTATGAAAGGAATGACGTCAGCAGCTCTGAATCCTAATGTCATTGTGATCCGTTTCCCTTAGATTCCCTTAGCCTCAGCGTGGGTCACATGCCCCGCACACAAATTCGCCTCATTACATTTCTGTCTCTTCTCATCAGAAATAGGGATTAATAGGCTTGGCTCTAAACAGACTTTCCTCACAGTTGGAGCACGCCTAAAATGTCTCTTACACCTTGGGAGGTGGAGGGGACAGAGAGTACCATTCATCAGAAACACCCCAGCCACCATTAAAAGTAAACTAATAGTGGCACCCGTTGTTGAGACTTGCCTAAATTGCTGCTCGCAGCTCTTTCTCAGTCACGCCTTGCTAGAATACGTTTCTGTGCCAGTGTGAGAGCTACGTGCTGGGGTTCTGTGATCAGTACCCGCTTACTCGCCCCATTATTTAGTGCTCTGATAGCTGTTGTGGGATTTGGAAATAAATCTAAATAATCCAAGCATTGTGGTTTTCACATTGATACTGATGGCTGGGGTGTAAGAAATAGGGAAAGAAGGTAGGAAATACTTGGTGTGGTGCCCAGTATCCAGGACATGAGGATGACGGGAGGAGTCTCGCCTTTCCCCTTTCCCTTCTCCCCTCCAGGCAGAGGGGTCAGCCTCGGCCGCTCCTCTCACACGCCTGGGCCTATCTCTGGTTTCCTGCAGGGAGAGGGAAAGCCCGTGGCTGGGGGTGCAGGCGCTGTTACATCCTCTGTGTCTTATTCTCCGTTTAAAATCT
This sequence comes from Homo sapiens, assembly GCF_000001405.40. Taxonomy (NCBI): domain Eukaryota; kingdom Metazoa; phylum Chordata; class Mammalia; order Primates; family Hominidae; genus Homo; species Homo sapiens. The sequence continues at coordinate 790,062 of NC_000017.11, forward strand.
GGTTTGCCTGGTTCGTCTATCCCGAGGTTTGACAAATGAACTTCTAAAATAACTCGTCAGGAGAAGACTTGCGCTAACAAGCTGTGCGGGGGAGGGTGGGAGGCCATGCAGTCACTGCGAGGCCCCACCCTCGGCCACTCTCCCAGCCCGCCCGTGGTGAGGAGCCGCCCCTGGGAAAGGCCAGGCGTCGCAGGCTGCTGCCGGGGTTGCCTCTTGCCTCATTGCCTCATCTCTAGAGTGTTCCCTGCTCCGGTGCAGACTGAACGTTGAAGCCCAATGGGTCTTGATGAAACTATAGATCTGATTCTGTCACTGCTTTGCTTAAGATCCCTCAATGGCATGATACTGTCTTCTGATAAAATGCCAAACTCCTCAGCTTCCCATAGGAGGCCTCCTCCGTGTTGGCCTGCCCACCTCCCACCTCCTGTGCCACTACAGCCCCAGCGCTGATTGACCGGCTCACTGCCTGTGCCACCACACCCCCACCCGCTGATTGGCTGGCTCACCTCCTGTGCCGCCACAGCGCCACCGCTGATTGGCCGGCTCACCCCCTGTGCCGCCACAGCACCACCAGTGATTGGCAGGCTCACCTGTGCCACCACACCCCCACCCGCTGATTGGCCAGCTCACCTCCTGTGCCACCACACCCCCCCACCCGCTGATTGGCCACCTCAACTGTGCCACCACACCCCCACCGGCTGATTGGCTGGCTCACCTCCTGTGCCGCCACAGCGCCACCGCTGATTGGCCGGCTCACCCCCTGTGCCGCCACAGCACCACCAGTGATTGGCAGGCTCACCTGTGCCACCACACCCCCACCCGCTGATTGGCCAGCTCACCTCCTGTGCCACCACACCCCCCCCCCACCCGCTGATTGGCCACCTCAACTGTGCCACCACACCCCCACCGGCTGATTGGCTGGCTCACCTCCTGTGCCGCCACAGCGCCACCGCTGATTGGCCGGCTCACCATGCTTGCAGTCCTTAGGCTGCGCCACTCTCCCGCTTCCTCTCCTAGCTCTGTCCTCTGCCTGGGCCTTTATCTCAGTGTGGTGGTCTTTTAGATGGTTTTCCTCATCGCCCTGCTTTGTCCGTGGGTTTTCTATGACTGTGTGGGTGCTTCTTTTACATCAGTTACTGATACTGTAGCCATCTGTTTAATACCACCCCACTACACTGTGCGTTCCTTGGGGTTGGGGACTTTCATTATCTTTGCATCTTCTGCGCAGTGTCTGGCACGTGTGAATGGGAGATGTTGAAGGGATGCATAAAATATCTTCAGCACTAGCAGGAGTGACTCCTATAGTCGCTGTGCTGGATGCTGTCAGAGAGAGGCAGAAGGTCCCATCCCTCAAGAAAGCTATCATAGAAGAACTGGTTTATCTCCTGATCCAAAATTGATCAGACTTACTCCACAGTCCCCTGGTCTGGGAAGATTTGTAACATCTTGATTGTTTCCTTTTTATTTTCCAGGCTGTGTGGATGCCTGGGAGCCCAAAGTGCTCCGGGCGGGTATGGGCGCACATTTCCGGATGCCCATTATCAATAATCTGGAATGGGAAACCGTGCCCAATTACCTGCCCCCTGACACTCGGGTCTATGTGGCTGACAACTGTGGCCTTTATGCCCAGGCTGAGATGTCTAATAAAGCTAGTGACCATGGCTGGGTGTGTGATCAACGAGTGATGAAGTTTCACAAGTATGAGGAAGAGGAAGATGTAGAAACCGGAGCCAGTCAAGATTGGCTGCCTCATGTTGAGGTTCAGAGTTACGACTCGGACTGGACAGAGGCGCCGGCAGCTGTGGTGATTGGCGGGGAGACCTACGGCGTGAGCCTGGAGTCCCTGCAGCTGGCCGAGAGCACTGGTGGCAAGAGGCTGCTGATCCCCGTTGTGCCTGGTGTGGACAGCCTCAACTCGGCCATGGCGGCAAGCATCCTGCTTTTCGAAGGGAAAAGACAGCTGCGGGGGAGGGCGGAGGACTTGAGCAGGGACAGGAGTTACCACTGAGGACGCAGAAGTGACTTCTGCTTGAGGACGTCTGCAGCTCCTCCTACACCAGCACACTGGTGGGAGGCTGGCGGAGTCAGTGACTATGGCCCCCACGTTCAGGAGGAAGGTGTGATGCCGTCATACAGTTACAGGAAAAATAAGAACTTCCTCAGAAAGAACAGGTCCGAATTCTTCCTGTCGCGTCACTGATTTTGAGGTTCTTTTTTCTCTTGGTGACAATAGGTGACCCACGTGGCTCTGTGTGTTTTTAAAAATTGTCCACCAAGAAGCACTTTGTGCCCAGAAAGTTCCTGAAGCATCATCCTGGCAGGGAGGCGCCTGCTCCACCAGCTGGTGGGTGTTTGTAATCGCCAAGCACCAGCTATAGGTCACAGCCACATCACTCACAGCTGATCACTGGTTGGTGGAAAATAAACTATGAGCAGCAGATTACGTTAGTAAGTTGTTTTGTGTCGTTGGTGTGTCACAGTACCTGTCACGTTTGGCCTGGTAACGAGGACGTGGCTAAGGGAACACCAGGAAGCTGAGGGCTACGCTCATGGCATCCAGCAGCTCTGCTCTGGGCTCAGATGGTCTGTCTTTGAGATTGTTCAGGGCTTCACTGAGCCACTGTTTATGTATCCATAGAAACGGCTTAATTCAACAGGCCATGTCAGACCTTCTTGGCACCTCTGCAGATACCTTTTTGAGGACTTTGCAGAGACGGAAGTCTATGCGGAAAACTGAATTTCAAAATCGGCAGCCTCACCCTGCATGTGTCAGGAAAGTGTCACTGTTTCCTGGTTCCCTGTGTTAGTCCTACTTACGTCTCATCCCCCAATGTTTAGAGGCCAAGGTTCTGAGAATGAACGCCCACAATACAGCGGCAGGACCCTTCTGTTCTCTCAGCCCCTCCAGGGCCCAGGGCAAGCTGGATCTTTACCTACTAGCGGCCAAACCAGGATGTAGCCAGGGTGTCAGGGCAAGTGCTGATGGTCATCAATGTATCTATAAGGAACTGTGGGGATGGGGTGGGTGGGTGGAATATGGGACTCTTAAGCACTGCTGGCCAGGTGCGGTGGCTCACGCCTGTAATCCCAGCACCTCGGGAGGCCGGGCGCAGTGGCTCACGCCTGTAATCCCAGCACCTCGGGAGGCCGGGCGCAGTGGCTCACGCCTGTAATCCCAGCACTTTGGGAGGCCAAGGCGGCGGATCACAAGGTCAGGAGATCGAGACCGTCCTGGCTAACACGGTGAAATCCTGTCTTCACTAAAAAAATACACAAAATTAGCCAGGCGTGGTGGCAGGTGCTACTCGGGAGGCTGAGGCAGGAGAATGGCGTGAACCCGGGAGGCGGAGCTTGCAGTGAGCCGAGATCGCGCCACTGCACGCCAGCCTGGGCGACAGAGCGAGACTCCGTCTCAAAAAAAAAAAAAAAAGCACTGCTTTTGCAGCCACACAGAGTTGGAGTTGAAGACAACACAGGAAGCGTTTCCCCACACCCCTCTGCCCAGCGGCTCCCGTAATGGTTTGGACACTGCTCACTCCAGGGAGGTCAAGTGTGTTGCTGGTGTGCCCAGGAGAAACCTTCTTTCTCTTCTACTCCCCCAACTTCCTAGTCAAACTCCCTCTTCCTAGTAAAACCAAATGACCAAGCATGATTCACGTGCCAAGGGGCAGGTTGGGATTGCTCTCCCCTGGGGGAGGGGTGTTTGCAGGGACAGTGTCCTCCCAGGCTGACATCTGAATATTTGAACATCTGCTCTGGAGCCCCACTGTGGTCTGGGCCTGCCCAGAGCTCCACATGAATGGGCAATGCAAGTGTCCCCCCAACACTGCTCCCAAAGGCTGGTGCAGAGAGGACAGGCGGAAAGGCGGCCTGGAGAATGCAAATCCATCCCACTCCAGTCTCCCCAGACACCTCAGGACAGTGCTCAAGCAGCAGGAGTCACGAAAAGGAAGCTCACATCTTTCCAGCCTAAAACCAATCTCGTGGGATTTGTTCCCCGGGTTATACTCCCACTGACTCGTTACAAAATAACAGTGAAAGAATAAACCATGTATTACCTTGTCCTTGTTTAGAAAAAGC